>NC_000011.10:97475454-97778485 GCF_000001405.40 Homo sapiens
AGAACATCATAAAACCAATAATTATAAACAGTAGTCTATGTAAGAAAAGTGCCTAAATATAGATCCCAAAATTCATTTCATTAACAAACACACATACATGTTTATTCATATTTTAGCACCCATACTGAGGATTCAATAATTTGTTAAATATGAATTTACTTCTAGTTTATTGATGTTATAGCTAATGGAGGGTTAAATATAATATAGTATATAGAGGCCACTGTGAAACACAGAAAGCAAAGTCAATACTAATGATCACAAAGGGCTTCCTGGAAGCAGAAAGATTTAAATGAATCGTAAAGATAGTTTTAAGCAAAAGGTTGATATATATCACTAATTGGTACCATAAGAAAATCTAATGCCGGTAATAGTGCAAAGTATCTAAAAAACATAATTTATAGGCTTGAGCTAATGGATGGAGAAAAACCACCCAACAATTGCAGAATACATATTCATTTCAATCGATTTAAATGTCAATAAATCTCAAAGGATTAAATTAAAAATGTGTCATTTTACTACAATCCAATTAAGCAAGACATCCACAACTAAAAGTGCTTGATGAATGTCAACTTTATGATCCATACAGTTCTTATCAAACTAGAAAAAGAAAATGTTATTCAGATAACGTATATCTATACAGAATCAACAGTAATCATAATAATTAGTGTGAAGTATCAAAGCTTTCTTTTTAGATTAAGAACAAATCAGAAACATTTTTCTTCACCGATTCTATTCAACATTGTGCTGGAGATTCTAATCAGTAAGAGGAGAAAAGAAACAAAATCTTAAGAGTGGTACAGGAGAAAAAAATTACTGTCAATTTTATTTTCTTAAATCACAGATATGATTGTCATAGAAAATGTAAAATTACTGACAAAGTACTTCAATCAATATGAGAGTTACCAGTGTTATTGGATATAAAGCCATTTGATACAAAAAAGTAAATTTTTATATATCAAACAAAGGAAAAGAAAAATTGTATTATTTATAACAACATCAAACTATTAAACAGTGCATAAAGATATAGTTATCTGCAGTGGGCTTGAGGTATCTCTGTGTTTATCTTCAGAGAACCTGGAGGGGTGATCATGACCTTCAGCCAAAATATGGATGAGAACGTCTAGCTAGTGATTTATAATATGCCATGTATAAGTGAAAATCTTTTGTGGGAACCCTGTTCTAGCTTATATAGCTTGTTCAGAGATGTATAGATTGATGGCTTTTACTTGGTTTAACAATTTACACAGCCTGTTTTTAAATACATAAGCAGCAGGTTATAAAAAAAAAATCCCTCAAACTTTCGCCTAGTCTCCCCTGGAACTAATCTTACATGTACCTTAGAGGTTCATAATTCAAAAATGAAGTATATTCTGTGCAGAGAGTATGTTGAGGGGTATATGTAGAATCCTGGACTACTCAATGATAGCCAATGTTTTAATTATCTATCTGTTCTGTATCATTAGCTTTATTAAAGTCTTATGTGAGTGTACTCTGCAGATTCATGAGTCTTTTCAATCAACTGATTCTGTGTAATTGTAATATTTAGTAATAAATATAAGATTTAATACTTGCCAGATTCTACAAAGACAATTATAAAACATTTTTTAAAATAAGATCAACATATACAGAGAAATATACACATTTATAACTGAAAGTCTCGATATGCTTATTCTCCTGGTACTAATCTATAGTTTTCATGTAATCCCTATCAATATCAAAATAGAAACTTTACTTCTGGCTAAGATATTTTACTGGGAAATGACTTATGCTCACATATAAACATCAAACAACACAAACTATAAAACCTAGGGAAATATACATATGAACAACAGGGAGCACAATGAAGTGATTTCTAAGAGGAGGGAAACAAACAAGGTGGATCCTCCAACTTCTACAGATTTCTGCTTCTCTATAGCATGCAAAAGTGGAATCTAAGAACTTGGTTGCATTTATTTGAGAAAATAGAGAATAGATTTCAGGGAGTCAAAGACAACTAAAAATTGCAGGATCGATTAAGAGAGAGAGAGAATTTTGTAAATCAGCATAAAGTTTCCCTCACGACTGGAAATGATTCTGCATGTACAAGAAAAATATTCTAGGCTGGAGAATAAGCCATGGAAAAGTAATAGATTAAACAATTGCCAGAGCTGAATAGTTTCATACTAGTGGGAATATCAATAGTTCTTAGCTCATAGGCTTATAGATTAGTACCAGAATAAGCAGATTGACAATACTGAGACTTTCAGTTAAAAATGTGTGTATCTCTGTATGTATATTGATCTTATTTTTCCTTAACTTGTTTTATAATTGTCTTTGTAGAATCTTAGCTCATAGGACTAGGAACTATTGATACTCCTACTAGTGTGAAAAAAAATTCATATACAGAGTATCAGAATCCTAAAAGGTTACCACCTTAGGAATGGTACCGTTAGCTCTACACCAACCACTGCCCTGAAACCACCATAACAAATCTGAGAAGCAAACTTTGAAAGTACTGAATTGATTCCAAGTAACTTAATTCTGTGTCTCAATAAAATTTAGTGCAACTAAAAAATACAACAAAGTAAACAAACAATGAAAAATCACAAAATATATTATCGCATAAAACATTCTGAAACATGTGGAGAAGCCCCTAATGACTGAAAACCAGAAGACAAACCCATCAATAGATCTAGAAATTACTGCAATGATAGAACTTGCTAAAAATCAAATGCAAAAATAAGTATCAAAGCATAGAGAGATGAGTAAGACAAATGAAGTACAGAGGAACAAAAGACATATGAGAGATTTATCAGACATTACACAACAAAAATTAAGTGAAGTAAAACATTTGAAGAACTGAAAGAAAAAAAGGTAAATCAACTTAGAACTGTTGCCCCATAAAAATATTCTCACTGAAGGCAAAATAAAGATGTTTTCACAAAGAAACTATCTGAGATAATGTACTGCCAGAAGATCTTGCATATAACAAACATTAAAGTAAGTTATTCTCATAGAAGGAAAATGGAATTGGATGGAAACCTGGACCTACATAAAGGAATAAAGAGTGACAGCAAAGCTAAAGGTGCTAGTAAATGTATTAGTTGCTTCTTAATTTAAAAACATTTCTTAAAAATACTTGGGAAAATTCTGATTATGGTGATTTAAAGAAGTTGGCAATTCTGCTCTTTAAAACAAGTGTAAATAAGTATAAAATTTACAAAAGTATAAATAATAAATTGAGTATAAAATAAGTATTAAAATTAATAAATTATAAATTGCAGTAATTTATCACCAGCAATAATAAATATAGGGAAAAAAACATGCTATTTCTTTCATTTAAAATGGTATATTTATTTAAGGCTGTAATTCTACATGTATGTGTATAAAGGAAATGTGCCAAATAGGGTATATGAGCAAAGTATATGTTACTATAATTTACTATTAATTTAAAACAGTTTTGGTATTTAAGATGCAAATTGTAATCCCATTTACAAAATCAATGTAAAATATATAGGAAAAATGAAGAAACTTCAATGTTAAGCAAAAAAAATTGTTTAATACAACAGTGAAGAAGGAATAGATGAATAAGTAGATTTGTATAGAAAACAAAAAGCTAAATGGCAGATATAGTCTAACACTATCGATAATTGAATTAAAAAAGTGAATCCACTAATTATCCCAATCATAAGGAAAAAGAGTTTCAGAGTGGAGAAGAAAGCAAGATACAACTGTGTAATGTCTGTAAGAGATATAATAGGTTGAAAGTAAAAGGATAGAAAAATATATAACATGCTAAATTAACAAGAGAATGACTGTATTATCAAAAAAATAGACAAAATAGGATTACTGCTAGAGAAAAAGAGATGATTTATCATGACAAAAGTGTCACTGCATCAGTCTGTCTCTCTATATAATATGTAATATACAAATTTAAAATAGTTTTGGTTATTATATATTATATATATAATATATAGCACCACAAGTCTAGAATATTTGGAAAAATTAAAAGGAGAAATAGAAAAACTAAAAACATAATTTTTTATTTTTTTATTTTTTATTTTAATATTTAAATACTCAGTAATTTATAGAGCAACTAGACAGAAAATTAGCAAGGATATAGAAGACTTCAATGATATTATTAGCAAAATGAACATAACTGACATATAGAACAGTATACCTAACACTGGCAGAATATACACCCTTTTCAAGCACATGTGGATTATTTAGATTGACAGTATGATAGGCAAAAAATAAGGAGCAAATTGATTTTAATTTGCATTTCTCTGATAGTTTGTGAGAATATTTTCATAAACCTATTTGCCCTTTGTATGTCTTCTTTAGAGAAACAGCTTTTCCGATTGTTAGCTAATTTTTATAATTAGGTTATTTGTTGTATTGCTATTGAGTTGCGTTCCCAATATATTTTGGATATTAACCACAAATAGATGTATTGTTGGCACATATTTTCTCCTATTCCATGTGTTGACTCTGTACATTGTTTTATTTGCTGTGCATAAGCTTTTTAGATATCACTTTACACATGTTAGTATGGCTATTATAAAAAAGACAATTTAACAAGTGTTGGTGAGGTTGTGGAGAAAAGAGGATCCTTACAGGCTGTTGGTGAGAATGTAAGTTAGTATACCGATTATGGAAAACAGTACAGAAATACCTCAACAAATTCAAAATTAAACTACTATACGATCTAGCAATCTCACTTCTGGGTATATATCCAAAGGAAATAATATATGTATGTTGAAGAAATATCTGCATGTTCATGTTTATTGAAGTATTATTCACAATAGCCAAGAAATGGAATCAACCCATGTCCATCAATGCATGAATGGATAAAGAAAATGTGGTTCATATATGCAACGGAATGCTATTTAGCCTTTATAAAAGATGAAAAACTGGTTATTTGCAATAACATGGCTAAATCTGGAGGACATTATGTTAAGTGAAATAAGCCAGACACACAAAAACAAAATACTGCATAATGTCAATTACATGTAGCATCTAAAAAGCTAAATTCATAGAAGCAAAGAGTAGCATGGTAGTAGTTATTAGAGGCTGGGGTAGGGTGGAGTGGAGTAGATGTTAGTCAAAAGGTACAAAATTTCAGTTAGATAAGATGAAAATATCCAAAGATCTATTGTACAGCATGGTGATATAGTTAGTAATAATGTATTGTATACTTGAAAACTGCTAGGAGAGTAGATTTTAAAAGTTATCATAGGAAAAAGACAGGCATGTATGTGAGGTAATGGATATGTTAATTAACCTGATTTAGTTATTTCACACTGCATACACATATCAAAACATGTTTTATATCATAAATATATACAGCTTTTGTCAATTAAAAAGTAAAACAGTCTAAATAAATTTAAAAGAATTAAAATTCTGCCAACCATGTTCTCAAAATATTATGAAATTAAATTATAAAAACAGTATAAAAACAACTATAGGAAAAAAATAGAAATTTTAATAAACACAACTAAATAACCCATTGGTCAAACAAGAATTAAAATGAAAATTTAAAAATATATATCCTGATCTATATCACTAGGGCGATTTTCAGAAAAGTTAAAAAGAAGCTAGCTAACTAAATCCTGACCAAATATGTCTAAAGGAATGGAATCATAATTCCTGGTACAATTGATTTTCTGTATTTTTTCTGACATTTTCTTCACTTAAGCACAGGCTATCTAGGTGTTGGGGGTGGAGGTGTTGTATGTGTAAAGTATATAAACTTGTACATCACTTAAGACCACCCACTTTTAGAAAACTTTGGGTAGATAACGTTCACAATAATTAGCAAGAGACACAGTTTATTTAAAATTAAGAAATATATGCAGTTAAAATATGTAATTATTTTAGGCTACTTAGCCATTTTTGTTTCATAATTTTGAAAAAATAGGCTTTGCTGTATGCTACTAATTACATCAGTAAATGAGTTAAAGAAATTTAAATACTAACACTATATTTTTTGTTTTTACTTCAAAATTTATTCTGAAGTTAATATATTGGATATTATAAACTATGTAATATATAGTGGGTTTTTTTCCAGCATAGATACAAAGTGCTACAAAAAATCCTACTTACAAATGGATTTTGCTAACATCAGGCTTTTTAAATATTCCCTCAAAGACTAAATAGAAACAGCAAGACATATTAATGATAGTAATGAAAAATAACAAAGTAAAACTATTTTAAACATTAGTTAATACCTTTCAAAATCATATAGAGAGGGCAAGAGTAAGATTGTTATTAGTTCTCTCTTATATAAATCTACTTTGTAAATGTGGTAGTGTAACATTTTTATGGAAGATCAGTGTGCAATCTGATTTTAAATGCCTTTTGCCTAAAATAAATAAGGACGTATGCTGAGAGTATACAATTTCATTGATCATAATGCACTTACAATGCTTATAAAATAACTGTAGTATAAAATATGCACTATCCTTTTGGCAATTAACTAAGTGATTCCTGACACTAAACATTAATCTTTTCAATTAAATATACAATAGTTTTATAATAGTAGAGTTTTTCGTAACTCATATTTAATATGTATGAAGCTAAGGTTATTTTGAATGGTACATGTTTTCATCTATGAATGTATTGGAAGGAAAAAAATTAAGTCAACTATGTGCTATTTGTTATTGCTAATATTTGTATTTGGATCTTCTGTATATTGGAAGCAATGGGTACATAGAATATAAAAATATTTTATAAGTTGGTGAAAAGGAACCATACATCTTAATGAGGAATTAGAATATTGAACCAGGGATTACATGCTTAGCCCAATTCTGTCTTCTACGTAGTTCTGTCAAGAGAAGTTCAGATATATATGTTTGTCTACATGTTTATACATATAGAAAACTAGACCAGTTAGAAAGTCAAATGTAGACGATATGAGTTCATGGAGTTGTTTTTAATTTTTGTTCCATGATGTAACTCCTATTCCTAAAACAGTATCTTTCTTCCCTCCTTTAACAGTTTATTAGAATTTAGTAAGTGCCAGAAACTATTCTTAGTACTGAAGATATAAAAATTTAAAAAAACATACATCCTGGAGAAGATGGCCAACTAGATATAACCAAGAAGAGCTTCTCCAGATATGCTCTGAACATGTCTTCAGAAAGAAGTCACTGAGAGTGGAGAGAAGGGATGCAGACCATGGCTGAAAGGGAAGGCAGCTGGGAACCATGACTCATTTCTGGCCCTGAGTGGCACCTAGAGGAGAGGTAAGTGAAATAAGGGTGGAGTGGCCTACTCTCACTACAGATCTCTAGGATCCTAGGTGGGTGAGATCCCACAACACTCATGGACATCTGAGCTGGCAAGGAAATCTACCTGGAGAGTTGGCACAGACAGAACTTTAGCCTGTGCAGAGCCCAGAAGTTTTGGCCTAGGAATGCCTTCAGTGGAGCACGTCATGGGCACCCATACTCCAAAGCTTGTCATCCTCCTCTAGGTGGCTTTATAGCATTTATTAGCTTCTGGATTTGGACAGAGCAGACCTGTCCTGCCTGTGGGACTAGGCCAGTCCGATCTGAGCACACCCCTGTCTGCTGGCTTCTCCCAAGGCCACTGCCTGGTTACACTTGCTTGTAGCTCAGCCTCAGGTTGCCCATGGCCACTGCCATACCTTTTTCATTGGTAGACTCTGACTACCCATTGGAGTGCTTTTGCAGACACACCCACACCAGGGTGCACCTGCCCACTGCCTCCCCCACACTGGCATGTACCTGCCAGCAACCTGTCTCCACCAGTGCACAACCACCCACAGCATATCCCTGTTCCCCCGCTGGCACATATGCTTTCAGAGAACCAAGGAGGGGAACATGCATGGACCCACTGCTGGTATTCACACACGTAAGAAACCCTCCTGACATGGCAGTGTGCACATGCATGAGGGATCACTACCATACTGCCAGAGCACCTTTGCTGGCAGCCCCCCTTGGAGTGTCATTGGCAGCATACTGAGAACACCTCAGCCCCTCCAGTGCAGCAGGTGCTTAGCTTTGAGAGGCCAAAGAACAAAGCCACAGGCCTGGCCCAACCCCCACAGGATTAGAGCACACAGCCCAGAAGTGCTGATATTAAGCCCAACTGATACCACAGTCAAACTCTCAAGGGCATGAAAGAATATAAAAGCAAAAAGCCCCATCCTAAAGACAGCAATTTCAAAGATTAAAGAGACCTCAGCCAACACAGATGAGAAAGAACCAGTGAAATGGGCTTTCTTCAAGAGGCCCATTTTATATGCAATAACATCCATAGGCTCAAAGAAAAAGGATGGAGAAAGAGCCCTCAAGGAAACAGAAAACAAAAAAGGACAGGGGTTGCTATTCTTATTTCAGACAAAACAGACTTTAAACCAACAATGATCATAAAGGACAAAGAAAAGCATTACATAATGACAAAGTGTTCGATTCAACAAGAACACTTAACTATCCTAAATATATATGCACCCAACACTGGGGTACCCAGATTCATAAAAAAAGTTCTTAGAGACCTATGAGGAGATGTAGATAAACGTACAGTAATAGTTGGAGACTTCAACACACTACTGTGTTAAACAGACCATTGAAGCAGAAAACTAACAAATTTGAGACTTAAACTTGACCCTTGACTAAATGGACCTAGAAGACATCCACAACATACTCCAACTAACAGCCTAATATATATTCTTCTCATCTGCACATGGACTATACTCTAAGATCTACCACATGCTTGTTATAAAACAATTCTCAACAAATTCAAAAAACCAAAGTCATGTCAATTACACTCACAAACCATAGTTCGATAAAACTAAAATCAGTATGAAGCAGATCTCTCAAAGCAATAAAATTAGATGGAAATTACACAACCTGCGCCTGAATGACTCATGAGTAAAGAATGAAATTAAGGCAGAAAACAAACAAACAAAAATTTGAAACAAATGAAAATAAAGATACAACATACCAGAAACTCTGGGACACAGATAAAACCAATCTTAAGAGGAAAGTTTATAGCACTAAATGGCAACATGAAGTTAGAAACATCTCAAATTAACAACCTAATATCACATCTAGAGTAACTAGAGAAACAAGAGTAAATGAATCCCAAAGCTAGCAGGAGAAAAATAATAAAATCAGAGCTGAGATGAACAAAATGGAGTCATGAAAAACTATACAAATGATCAACTAAAGCAAAAGTTGGTTCTTTGAAAGAATAAAGAAGAGTGATAAACTGCTAGCTAGAATAATATATATATATAGAGAGAAGATTCAAATAAACACAATCAGAAATAATAAAGGGTACATTACCATTGAACCCATGGAAATACAAAATATTATGATGAAAACCACACTATGCAAACAAACTATAAAACCTAGAAGAAAAGGATAAAATCCTGGCAAAATTAAACCTCCCAAGATTAAACAAGGAAGAAATTGAAATCCTCAACAGACCAATAATAAGTTCCAAAATTCAATCACTAATATAAAACCTAGCAACCAGAAAAAGCACTGGAAGAGACCCATTCACAGCCAAAATCTGGTAGACATATAAGAGCTAAAACTAATCCTACTGAAATTAGTTTAAAAAATCAAGGAGAGAGGAGTGCTCCCTAACTCATTCTGAGGTCAGCATCATCCTATTATCAAAACCTGCCAGAGATATAAAAAAAGAAAACTTTAGATTAATATCCCTGATAAACACAGATGCAAAAAATCTCAACAAAATGCTAGAAATTAAGTCCAGCAGCACATCAAAAAGCTAATCCACCCTGATCAAGTAGACTTTATCCCTGGGATGCAAGGTTGGTTCAACATATGCAAACCAGTAAATGTGATTCATCACATAAATGGTACTAAAAGCAAAACTACATGACCATCTCAATAGGTAACAGAAAAGGCTTGGACCTTTCCAAGCCTTTGGAAAGGCTGGCAATTGGACCCCTTCCTTTCACCATACACAAAAATCAACTCAAGATGGATTAAAGACTTACATGTAATACCTAAAACTATAAAAACCCTGGAAGAAAACCTAGGAAATACCATTCTGGACATAGGTGTTGGCAAAGATGTCATGACAAAGTATCCAAAAGCATTTGCAACAAAAACAAAACTAGAGAAGCGGGACCAAATTAAACTAAAGAGCTTCTGTACAGCAAAATAAATGATCAATAAACAGACAAGCTACAGAATGAAAGAAAATATTTGCAAACTATACATCAGACAAATGTCTAACATCCAGAATCTATAAGGAACTTCAACAGATCAACAAGCCAAACACTAACAATCTCATTAAAAATGGGCAAAGGACATGAACAGACACTTCTGTAAAGAAATACACAGAACCAACAAGCATATAAAAAAATGCTCATCACAAATTATTAAAGAAATGCAAATCAAAACCACAGTGAGATATCATCTCACACCGGTCAGAATGGTTATTAAAAAGTCAAAAAATAACAGATGTTGGTAGCGTTGCAGAGAAGAGGAACAATTATATACTACTGGTGGGAATATAAGTTAGTGCAGCCACTGTAGAAAGTAGCTTAGAGATTCCTCAAAGAACCTAAAACAACTGCCATTTGACCCAGCAATCCCATACTGGGTATATACCAAAAGGAATACAAATTATTTTACCAAAAGACACATGCATTCCTATGTTCATCACAGCACTATTCACAATAGCAAAGACATAGAATCAACCTAGATGCCCATTAATGGTAGACTGGATAAAGACAATGTTGTACAGATACACCACACAGCCATAAGAAATAGGAAGATCATATCCTTGGAAACAACATGGATAGAGCTAGAGGCTATTATCCTAAGCCAATTAATGCAGTAACAGAAAACCAAATACCACATGTTCTTACTTACTAGCGGGAGCTAAACACTGAATGAATACACATGGACACTAGGAGGGGAACAATAGACATCAGGGCATACTTGAGGGTGGATTTGTGCGAGGAAAGTGAGAGTCAAAAAACTACCTATTGGGTATAATGCTCACTACTGGGGAGACAAAATCATTTGTACACCAAACCCAGCAACATACAATGTACCCTTTAACTTTAAATAAAAGTTGAAAAAGAAAAAACTGCATACATTCTGCATTAAAGGACTTAAGAAATGTACACAGTTAAATATAATGATATGTGGCAAGTATATGGGTACGTATACGGATCATGGTGAACATAAAATGCAATAATGAATTACATACTCATGGGGTCACGGAGAAATATCACAAAGGCAGCAGAAAGGAGCTGACTCAGGGGTCTTCCAGATTTTCTTTGGTCAAGGTAGTTATCCACAAGGTATAATTTGAGTGTCTGTGCAAATATTTTTATTTTTACCTAAGATGTTTTAGATATTGTATAAATCAACACAAGAAAGCTCCTACCATGACATACCTTTTCATCCATGTAAAATAAACACTACCAACCAATTACGTATCAGAAAATATGGCCCCAAATTGAAGTGCAAAATAAGTTGGAAGCAGAAAGAAAATCACATAGAAAATAGGAATAGAAATGACAATTGAGTAATTTGTTAAATTTGAATGTGAAGAGAAAATGTTCTTAGTAAGAAAATAAACATTTATTTTACATTACTTATATTTTTATGATCCAAGTGCTTATAAAAAGAAAATTAATCTTTGTGGAATAATCAATCGAATAAACACATGAACTTTTTATAGACTTCCTATTAAAACAGAGGTATCCTACTTAGGGGTGATACATTTAAGTGCCTAAAGATATTGGGGCTGAATCGATTAGCATCTTTTTAGCTGGGTTTAGAAGCATGAGAGAGAAGCTTTATCAACATGAAAAAAATTTGATGCCTAGAAAGCAGA
The DNA here is from genome assembly GCF_000001405.40 of Homo sapiens. Taxonomy (NCBI): domain Eukaryota; kingdom Metazoa; phylum Chordata; class Mammalia; order Primates; family Hominidae; genus Homo; species Homo sapiens. The sequence goes on from NC_000011.10 coordinate 97,487,290, forward strand.
GTTGCCGAAGAAGACAAAAGATTCCCAAGGATAAATATTGTGTCCTAATGAAATTTCCATAAAAGCTATCTCAGGTAGCACTTTTACCCATTGGAACTCTTTGTACCAGCTATCACCCTGGGCTAAGGTACCAATAACTACAATATTATTAAACTCCTCCTTTGTGCTAGTTTCAGAAACCACCTTCCGCCTACTTCAACCTTTTAGCCTGATAGAATTTGTTTTTCAAAGAGAAGTTTTTCATATTATAAAACATTTTTCTTATTTAAAAAAATCTTGTATTTTAGATGTCAGCATTTTTTAGTTATGTGTGTACTTGGAATTTACCAAAAAATGTTAATTAGGTCATAGCCTACAAACTATTTAGTTTTATTGATGTATAATTGACAACAATATATTGCACATATTTAAAGCCTATGACTTGATACGTTTTCACTTACATGTGCACCCAGGAAAACGTCACCACAATCAAGATAATGACCAGATCCATCACCCTCAAAAGTTTCCTTCTGACCTTTGCAGTCCCATCCGCCCTCATCTCAAGGAAACACTAAATATGCTTTCTATCATTTAGTTACAAGCTTCCCTTAAAATAAGTTAAGGCACTAGGCAAAAATCACACAGCCTATACACAGAATAAAATCCTGGATAATATTCTGATTCATAAACTATTTTCATTATATCCAAAGTGAATAATCAAAACTTTCCTGAGAATCTCAGCATGAGAACAAAAGGCCATCTCCCTAATGCTGGAAAGATTCTTACTGAGTGTCACAGTTCTGTGAGCAATGATGTCCCAGTGAAGTGAGTTTAGGAAGGCTGAAACTGCGGCACTCAATGAATTGGTCTAGGCCTCTGCATTTGAACTTATTCCCAACTTCTTTTTTGCCTCAAACTTCCTCTCACACTCTTTCTCACCCAGCTAACGGTCTTGCTTCATAATTCGGTAAAGATAGATTTATAGAAACTCCTTTATCTTCCCTATACACCCTATGTCTACTCAATGAATCTGCAATTGTACTTTTTCCTTCCCTCTTGTAACAATAAACTGTCCTTGCTTCCAACAAAAGTCAAATTTTTCATCATTACTTTTGATTCTGTGTTCCCATACATGTTCAAGTGCATATTTCTAAAAATAACCCCTCCTCTTAAGATAATGGTAGCCAATTTCCACCTCATCCACCTCCACTCCTGAACACTTCCATTGCATCTCATAAGCATCCTCATGCCCTAATATTTTTTTTAATCATTTAAAAATCCCTTCCTTACCTGCCTTTCAGGTAACATCTTTTAATATTTGCATTTTGAGAGAAAGAGTTGTGCCTTTATCCACGTTAAAATATCAATATCAGAGTTTCTGATATTCAATATAACTGCGATGCCATAATTTTAAATTTTTGGTAACAATTTGAGGAAGGGAAATGAAAATTTATTTCATTTATTAAAGAAGAAAAACCAGACCACTAGACCCTATGAAACAAAACAGATATAAGTGATTTTGGTATTTCACATCTAAACATATTGAGAGCCTGTTCTACATAAGGCCTACAGGTTGTTATGTGTCATTTAGAACAGATGTCTGATGCTTGTCCTGCTCCATACCTGCAGGCCTGATTGTTAACTGGTGTCATGTCTTATTTCTAAAATATTTAACCAAAAAAAAAAAGCAACGTCAGAGTAAGGTGATTAGTAGCCCAACAGCTGCCAGAAAATAGATGTCTTTGTGGTTTATTCTGAAGACTTAACTGATAGAGAAGGGTCATAGGTGAATATATATCTCTGTTTTGTTGTTCTTGTTGTTGTTTTGTTTTTTTTTTTTTTTGAGATGGAGTTTTGCTTTGTCGCTGAGGCTGGAGTGCAGTAGCATGACCTCGGCTCACTGCAACCTTCACCTCTTGGATTGAAGCAATTTTCATGCCTCAGCCTCCCAAGTAGCTGGGAATATGGGCATGTGCCACCACGGCTGGCTATTTTTTTTTTTTTTTTTTTGTATTTTTAGTAGAAACGAGGTTACACCATGTTGACCAGGCTGGTCTCGATTTCCTGGCCTCGAGTGATCCACCAGCCTCGGCCTCCCAAAGCACTGAGATTACAGGCATTAGCCACTGTTCCTGGCCCCTGTTGCCATTCATTCTTGTTCTGACTTAGCATGGCCAGTGGGAACTGATCAGTGCCAAGACAATCTCCAGTGACTCACCATTCCCATTATCACTCTTCTGGGAAGTTAATGTACTAATCGGCCCTTGTTCACAAAGTGATCTGGGAGAGATAATTGGCAGGTTGGAATGTGTGTTGTCAGTAGCAGAAATAACAATCTCCCCTTTATGTGTTCTCTTTCTCAGGGCAACCATTGACATCATCCAGCTTTCTTTCTCATGACACCTGTGCTGCAAACCTAAGAACAAATGCTATTATCTTGGATGATTTGATAAGGGAATTGAGATATCGAGATAGCAAGCGACAACCTCAAGGTCACCCTAATGATGAACAGGTAGAATGATTCTTTTTTTTTTAGATGGAGTCTTTCTCTTTCACCAGGCTGGAGTACAGTGGCGCAATCTCGACTCACTGCAACCTCCACCTCCTCGGTTCAAGCGATTCTCCTGCCTCAGCCTCTCAAGTAGCTGGGACTACAGGCACGCACCACCATGCCCAGCTAGTGTTTGTATTTTTAGTAGAGATGGGGGTTTCACCACGCTGGCCAGGATGGTCTCGATCTCTTGACCTTGTGATCCACCTGCCTTGGCCTCCCAAAGTGCTGAGATTACAGGTGTGAGCCACCATGCCCAGCTGTAGAATGCGTCTTGATTTTAATCCGTTACTTAGTGTTTGTATACAGAGCAGCAAGAGAGATCCCATTAAGCATATTAAATTATCTCACTCTTTTTAAATGACTTCTCACCTAAATTCTGAACAGTTTTCCACAAACTACAAGCTCTTATATGAACAGGTCTCTATCTACCTCTTCACACTCATCTTGCTCCTCTCCTTCATTACTCACTAACTCCACGCTTTCCAAGTTTTCCACAATTTTGACACATGGAGAACAAAGGTAATATTTTTATGGAACGCTGGGTAAATTAAAGAGACTACTCATGATCAGCATCTGGGCAGATTCTGGCCCAGGAACTCAGGCCACATACACCATACCCAGTTGCCTTGAGGACTGATAGCAATGATATCTCTGCACATCTATAGGCCATTTGCGTCACACTATTGTGACTTGGTCAAGTTGAAAAGATCTGCACTAGCCTCACTGCCCTTCATTTTTTTCCCCCAAATGTGCTGAGCTTCTTTTCCTGGTCAATTAACTTGTACTTACTGTTCCTTCTGCATTACACGCTTATGTTTCAAGACTCTTGCTTGCAATTATCTTTTAATTCAAGTCTCAGGTTAAATATTTGCTTGACAGAGAGATGTGTCTGACCCTCAATCTAATAGAACCCCTTGGTTTTTTTGTCCCAAATCCTGTGCCCTGCTTTATTTTCTTTCTAATATTTATGATCATCTGAGTTCATCGTGTTCTTTTTTCTTCATCTGTCATCTTTGTCTCTCCTATAAAATATAACCTAATGAAAAATGTAACCTCGTTTGTCTTACTCATTGCCTTTTTCCAATGCCTATTGCATTTCTTGTCATATAAAAGGTGCACAACATTTGTTGGGTATATTGTATAAACTTTACACTTCTTGGAATTTCTATCTTGGAATAATATTTCTATCTTTTCAAAAGAGATTGCCAGATAAAATGGTGTATATAGATATAGGACCTCCACTGAGTCCTAATGCGTATGGATTATTACATCTCTGCATTGAGATGGATTGTTTACTGTGCCACGGTATCATAGATCATAAAGGTTGTACCAAGAATACATAGGGAGATCCATCTTTCTGTGTGAAATAAATGTTCCAACTCTCCAGGACAAATTTACATTCCCTTTTTGATGACTTAGACACTTCCAAAAGGCTGGAGCCATCACAAACTTCATTGTTAAGTTACTTGACAATAACATGAGGCTCCATCCTCCCTTGGCATGTCTTACATACTTCCATCATTAAGCAGATACGAAGAATTTATAGCAGCACTATGGGTGATTATAGGAAGAATACTACAATGGGAGTCAAGATTCTTATCTACTAATCTTCGCTTTCTTCTAACTAACACATTGGATAAACAACTTAAAAACATTCCCTACCCAGATGCTTAGCTTTACATTGATTAATGTATACGTAGGAATGATTAATATATGGATATGAATGTTGTGACAAAAATTGAATGTATAGAAATGAAAGTTTTATAGGTTTAAATAAATGCAATGTTATCCAAATTCCAACAATGCTTTTAAGTAAAGCAACATAAAAATAAAAAGACATAACACAAAGTAGCCTTCCTTTATCCCCTATTATTCCATAGATTCTATCCTCCTCCCTACTATACCATTCCATTTCCAATAGGCAAACAATCTTACATTCTTAGTAAAAAATATGCAGTTTTTAAGTAATTGATCAAAATTAATTGATCAATACACAGTAGTATTAGTTTTGAGTAACACCAATACATCATATTCCAGCTAAGGCATTTACTACCAGAGTGATGTTGGACCTATTATTTTAACCTTACTCTACATCAATTTATCATCTGAAAATGGGGATAGTAATTTTAACCATTTCTTTTATGTGGCTAAAATGAGTTAATACATTTAAATTATTTAAAATTGCATAACTCATCCTGAGCATACCATTGATGGTTCTAATAGAATTATTTTTATTAGATACCCACTGATACCCCCTTTCCTTGAAACTTCATCTTCCCAATAAATATCATCTCATGTTTGGGTTAAATTTATTTTCTTTTTGTTTTACCAAGTAGCATACTTAATCCATTTCATTTTTCATACAATTTTTAAGCATTATTTTCTGATTTATCATTCTCTCTCTCTCCACCCCACCTTCTCATTTGATCTATTTTCTCGGAAAGCATAACACAAATATCTAATACAGTTTTTCCTTAACTTTCCATAGCTCTATAATTATTAACTGAACCACCTACATTATATCTGTCAAATAATTTCTGATTCATTTGCTTTCTGGGGAATATTCATTCTGGAGCCCTCCAACCTTCTGTTCCTGTCTAGTCTGGTGGCTTTAGAGAACTGTCACATGGCTATTATATTGGCACTTTCTATTTTACTATCATCTCATGAACATTCTTTACTTAATTTTCTCTTCCTGTCTCTTTCTTCAATTTCTCAATTTTCTCCTATTCATATTGGAGCCCATGGTTCAGTAGCTTCCAAGATTAGTTGATTGTTAGATTTTCTTTTTCTGTTTTGGAAAATGCCATTAAGGTTGGGACCCTTACAATACTATTATAAGGCGATATTTCCACAGTAGCTGTCTTATTTAATCACAAATTGTTCTGTGACTTCAGATAAGTCCCACTGTGCTATTGTATAATGTTTTTTGGTTGTTTATGGGTAAGTGGAAAAATGAAGAATCCCTTTTCTATAAACAAAGCTTCAGTTAATTAATCTGGTCTGTGTTCCATATGTTATTTCTCCTTTCTATTGCATTTGCTATATTCAAGTATTCAAGCCCATTTTCAAGTGTTCTAGGTTACTTTTTAACATTTTGCCATCTAGTTCCTTTTTTTCAGACATTTGCCTATAAAAATGCATGTGATAGGGTGTGTATGTACACATGTAAATTTGAACATGGTATTGACAAAATATTTTCAAATATTTGTATATTCATGTAAGTGTTACAGGGAAATGTGCAACTATCCTAGTATAAAAATTTCATTTGATTGTGTTAAAATTTTAATAATTTCACAAATGAGAATAATATACCTACACTGTGTCCTCCCTTCAGCTTCCACTCTTTATGCACAATGAAAAAGGAAAAACTTAAATTCACCGCTTTCCCCTTATGAAACTGGAGTCTGTAAGAGTGGTTGGCTGATCCTAGAATCACCTCACTGACTTTTAAAATAGAGATGTACAGGATCAACCCACAGATATTTTAAATTAATTTTTCTATTGTAAGGATAAGACATCTGGACTTAAAAAAAAAACTCCTATACTTGTGCTGGTCAAACACTTTATTAACATATTATAAATATTTGTTATTTTGGTCACTATGCTCATTGTGATTTAATGGCCACAACCTGAATTATTCTGAACTTATTAACTATTTTTAAAGTTACAAATAGTTTTTACAGAGCTTTATGTTCCTATGTAAGCTTTTGTCCATTACCTTAAAATATACTCTATTTTTAAATTAATCAAACAGTACTCTTTTAATAAGAAATAGTCACAGTGATATAATTTACATCTTTAAACATATTGGTAGCAAAATACATTTTCTAATATCTCACTGCCAGGGACTTGCTCTGAAATATATTTGTCTGTTTTACCTATAAAGCAATGGGAAGAGAATGTTTTTAAGGTATCCACTGTTTTTGTAATAACTTGTAATTTCCATTTCTTTTTTAATTTGGCTATATGGCATTCCTAAAGGAAAGATGCATTCAATTTGCCATGTGCTACTTCAGCATATTCCTCTGCATGGGTGAACTCATTGGCTTTGTAATTGTAAAGCATCAATTAGTAATAGAAAATAAAAGATCTCTTTTCATCAAGCGGATTTTAACCTCATAAAAACTTAATCAGCAAGATTTGATACCCCTATAGATTACAAGCTATTTAAGAACTAAACACGTATCTTCTATTTACTTTTTCTACCCTTCATGAGTATACAATGCTCATATTGTACAGAGGAAGTATGTAGAGTCTTATTTATCATTCAGAGATCACTGAACCTTGAGAAGTGGGGCTTCCTATTCCTGCAACTTCCAGTGTCCTTGCTATCAGAAAAAAATGAAATAGTAGCTACACTCTAAAAATGCAGTCTAAGATTCTAAGCTTGATTCGCAACTCTAAGGGAAATAAATTTGTTTAAAGAAGGAAGACAGCATGGGCCTAAAAGTTACCAAAATTGCATGGCGTAGGAACTAAAGTGATGAAATGATGGAGCCAAATGGTGTTTTGAGACGACATGTGGAAAAACCTAATTTTCTGTAATTTTTTTTTTTTTTTTTTTTTTTTTGCTGGAGCAAGGATAATTCTCAATGGTCAGCATATATATGGTGTCTTTCTGGGTGCACAGTGTCTGGCAGTGACTTATAGAGTACCTGATACAGAGTAGACCCTTTATATAATATTCTTTATATAATATTATAAAATAATTCAAAACATATATGAACTCTTCCCCGAGTGATTTGTGAAATTCTTGCTTATTGTCATTTTGTGATTTGGTGGTGAAAAGGGGCCATCAATACTCTTCTCCATCTCATTGTCCCTTCTCTAAGAATACTAGACTACAGACCTCACCCTGCTGGTTAGTAAAATCTGATGATTTATCCTTTTCTGAGCTGTTTTTGTTTTATGTCTGTGTGTGTGTGTGTGTGTGTGTGTGTGTGTTCGCACGTGCGCGCGTGTGCACACACACATGCAGTATATTCTTTGCTGTCTGGTCCAGGGATGTAATTTAGTCAATCATATTCAATCTTGTTCTAGCTCTCAGAAAATTTTATTTTGCTTGATATAGCTGCATTTCAGGTCCTATCATTAAAGTAACAATCTTATTGCCTTCTTCATGGAGAAGTGTATGTGTATGTGTGTGTGTTTTAACCCACTTCCCAGATAATACTTATACAATGAAAATTTATTGTTATTATAATCGAACCAGGCAGGCACAATGCACTGTGATATCAAAGTAGAACACTGAATGAATGTGGCACTTTCACAGGGGATGTAAAATATTTTATACTCAAGTCCAATATTTGAAATTGTGAAGATAAACCAATTTGTTGACAAAGCTGCTCTCTATTCTTAGTTACTTGAGATGAGTACCATTCACCTGATTTCCAGATTATAGTATGGATGGCTGCTACAATCAGGTCTTCAGTGTTATAAGGAGAAGGCTGTCAGTATCAATGAAAACACCATAGGCAGTCTGGAAAAGAAGCCCTTCAGACAAGTTCCCTTTGTGGGAAGAAAGGTTTATCGGGCTTGTACACAGATGTACAATTTCTCAAGACCACAGCAAATGGAATCTACCCCCAAAACAAATCTCTGTTCAAGAAGTAGTTGAAGTAATGTTAGTAGAATGCTAAGTATACTGTATTATTATTTTTAAAAAACAATTTGCTCACACTAGAGCATACTCAGTAAATAAAGTTACATGCAGTTTATTATAAAATTATTGGAAATAAAGAGAAGTAACATCTGTGAGGTCACATAAAAATAAACTGTTTCTTCTTGCATATTTATGCTGCCCTAATTTCCCTAATGTATCCGTTGGCAGAAATCATTCCTGATGCTATTTAAATTTTATTCTTTAACGGTCTTATATCATCCCCTCACCATTTTCTAAAATTATAAATCCTTAAAATTATATTTTATATTTTGAGAATCTATGTGTTTCAACTATTGGAATAAAAAACTGGCATCTCCTATCATCAATTAGGTAAAATATATAACTTCTTGTTTTAAAATAGGGCCCATAATGGGATTACAATGTATTCAAATTCATTGTTGCTATTTCCTTTATGGAAACAGCACCATACAGGTTATCAAGGTCGACAGATTATGGATTTCTTGTATGTTATATAACCTTAAACAAATAATTCATTCTAGTTCTGTTGAGCTCAAATTTGAAAATTGTGTGTGTGCATGTACGTATATGTGTGACATAGAAAAAGAGAAATATGAACCAGATAATATCTCTGATTCTATCCAATGCTTTTATTAAATTTTTAAGAAAGATTACATACTATACACACTGTTCTTTCAGGTAAACATATTGTGTCCATATGATCTAAGGACCTATTTTGGCTTAGGCATGCAATCATTATATGTTATTATGTAACTATTAATAGTTTCTACTTTCACTCCCAAAAAGTCTTAGTTTGGATGATAAATTATATGCTACCTCAGGTTTGAGCACTATTGTGGGATAACTCCTTTGACATGCAATTCAGGTCAAATAGCAAACGATGTAAAATAGTGTAAATAGTTTTTAATTCGGCTCCAAGATCATTATTAGCACTTAGCTTTTAGAAATTAGGGGATTTTGAAATTAAAGATACTTTATATGCAATTTATAGCCATGTAACCTGAGTTATGTCTATATATTAATAACAGAGAATGATGAAAACAATTAAGTGAACATGTTGAATTCTTCCTACAGTTTTTTTCTTAAATATTTAATTGGAAGGATTGTCACTGCCACTGGATTTGAAAGATATACCTTTTGTTTCCTACCTTCCAAACATTACTCTATATGCTTTTTCTTTTTAATGTTTGGTATTATGTAAAATCTCAATATATACAGAAATAGTATTTTATAATAAACTTTCATGTATCTGCCACCTCTCTCCAAAACTTATCAAACACTTGCCAAACTTCTTTATTTATGTATTTGCTTGGCTCTGCCATGTCTTTTGTTTTGCTGGAACATTTTAAGAAAAAAATCTACACAAAATGTAATCTCACCCACAAATACTTTAATATGAATTTTTAATAACCTCTTTATATCCAATTCAATTAATCAGACTATAAAAATCTTGCAGCATATTTTGTGGAATCTTAATGAGAGTCTTCCTTTATGAAATATTTTCTTACCAAAATCTAGTAAATAGTTCATGACACAGAAACATTTATTCAAACATTTCTACTTTAATCTCTATAACATGGCTAGAAGCCAAGTACGAGATCAATTTTGTTTTATCCTGATTAGAAATAGGAGGAAGGTTATATGATCTTGTCCCACAGACCCACTTTCTAGCAATAAAAGTGAAGCAGAAAATAAAAATATTTTTAAAAAATTATTTAAAATTTCTCAAATTTGTCCTAAGGGAATACAGCAAACATTTAAAAAATATATATTTAAGAAAATCTACTGTAACTCAACAAGGATAACAAGTATCTGTGGAATTTGAACCATGACTCACTCTTGTGCCTTTCCCTGGTGATTTTGGTGGAAGCTACACTATGTCTCTGGATGGATATAGCCAAAGACTGGCCCTCTCCCCACAGCTTCAATTAAGACTTACTTTATTTCACCAGGAGGGCAAGGTACCAGTAAACTTCATCCCCTCCAACTCCACATTGAAGAAGTTAAATTCATGGTGAGGTCAGTTGGGAACAGCTCCCTTTCTCCATCCAGCCCTTCCCCATAGGACCAAGGCTCTACCCTTGGTGAGGCAAGATGAGAATAGTGAGGCCTTGACAACCTTAACTTTGGCTTGCTCATAGAGTAGAAGTAGCAACCAGGAGTAGGAAAACCAGAGCTTACTATCCTGTAAGTAGAGTGTTGTCAGAGAATGACACATAAAACTATTTCATGGGGAATGGAAGCCAGGAAGAAAGAGAGCTCCAAAACTATCCCCAAAGAAACTGACTCTATTATAAACAGAATGTGCTGAAGGTGAAATCTAAAAGCACTCTAGAAAACAATAGCTCCTTATAATTTAGAATAACAAGCCAAACTATAAGCTAGCTAATTCACCAGACAGAATAAGGGAAAGAGACAGCTAAGATAATACATGCTGTGATATATATATATATATATATATATATATATATATATATATCCCCAACTGGCCTAAAAATCTGTGTCTGCCCAAATTTAATTGGACCAAACTGCTGAAAAATTTATAATCCGTGGCATTGTCAAAAACAGTAAAGCAAAAAGCCTATGATTAGTGCAGCCTGATATACGATGTCTAATGCCAACTAAAGCAGACAGGTTAACAAGGAGATTAAGTAGAAAGACAGTCAAGGAGAACTCAATTAAAACTACTGTCATTTGAGGGCAACTGTGCACATACCAAGGATAAACCCTCCAATGAGCGCTACCAAAGGCTTCACAATGCAGGGGAAATACACTTTAATAAAATATCCTAGCAATATCATTAATAAGTAAACAAACAAAAACAGGTCCTGGAGAGGAGTGAAGGAACTTCATATCCAGAAAGTCCACAATAAATCACTTAAATGTCCAGTTGTAAATTAGATAAGACAACCAATAACACGTTACCCATATAAAGGGAAGAAGGAGCAAGACAGGCAACAAAACCTGGCCATGGGATGGACTAGATATCAGATTTAATAAAAATGTCAACTAGTGATTATAAATATGTTTTAAAAAAGTAAAGGAAACCATGCTAAAGAAGTGAAGGAGATACAGTGTCTAATCAAATAGAGAATATTAATAAAAATACAGAAATTATTAAAAAGAACAAAGTTGAAATTTTAGAGTTGACATGTACAATAACTGAAATTTTAAAAATTTACTAGAGGGAGTACAGAGTATTTTTTTAAATAGAAGGAAATTAGTGAACTTGAAGACTGATCCATGCTGAATGCAATCTGAAGAACAGCAAGAAAACAGAATGAAGAAATTGAATAAAGCCTTAGAAGAATATGGAATTTCTTTCAGCACACTAAGATACACATAATGGGAGTAGAACGGAAGAGAAAAAAGCAGAAAAATAATTTTAATAGACAATAGCTGAAAGCTCCTCAAATTTGCTAAAAAACACTAACCTACACATCCAAGAATTTCAAGAACCTTCAAGTAAGATAGACAGAAAGCAATCTACCCCTGGACACACATTATAATAAAGTTGCTGAAAGCCAAACAGAAAGAAGCAAACAAAAAAAAAACTTGAAAGACGCAAGAGAAAAACCACTGACTGTGTATGAGAGTAATCCAATAAGATTAACTACTAATATCTCATTAGGAACAATGAAGGCCGTAAGGCAGTGGGAAGACATATTACAAATGCTAAAGACTAAGGGTAAGAGAAGGTGTGCCTTGCTTAAAGTAATGAATCTATAAAAGATTAGAAATAGGAATTAAGCCTAAGTTTTATTTCTCTAAATCAGTTAGTTTAGTAGTATTCAATGGATCTCTGACCTAAATAGACATAAAATTTCCCTGATGTTCTTATTTAAAATGCAGATATTTGGACTACAACCTTAGAAAATCTTATGCTGGATTTGGCATGGGTTTCAAGAATCTGCATTTGAATGTGCTTTAGAAGTAATTTTATGTAGGTCATTTGAATTACAGTCCAATAGCACAAGGAGATACAGTACAGAGTGACCATGGAGCTAGAGAGATAAGCACTTGCATCCTCATTCATCACTATCTGCCTATTTAACTGGTGTAAATATGAACTTTCTTGCATTTCTAGTTGATATAGTTAGTAAAAATGGTAACTCTAATATCCTGTAGAGTTGTTGTAAGAATTAAATAATATATGAAGCTGACCACCAAATCTGATAGGCATTTGTTTTCCTCTCATTCCCACTTTCTTGCTCATTCTACTAGCATTCCCATTTTCTGATGCTACCTTCCCCTAAAACCATCATTATTTTCATCTCAAATTGTAACTTATTTTTCTTCTATTATGTCTTTTCACAAGAAAAAAATAAATTTTAACTGAAATTGTCTGCTTGGATAATTAAAATAAGGACATTAAATTTTGAACCTGGTTAGAAAATATAATTTTTGGATTGAAGTTTTTTATAAAAATCCAAGGTTTTTTTTGTTCTTTTAATAAATGCAATAGTATTTACTAAAGCTTGTCTCAGGCAATAAATAGATATTGTTAAAGAAAGTAGAGAATCAAATATCTTTCTTGATTTTTCAGTATTTAAGTTGAGCAGTCTTTTACGAACCAAAATATACTCATACGTACACATTTGTGTGTATATGTGAGTGCATATATGCACACATGCTTGAACACTGTGGTGGAACATTGTTTTCATATGATGACTACATCAGGATATGAAAATCAATGTACTCAAAATTCTCTGTTTATTGACAGGATATCACCATTCATAGGTTGTTTTAAGAAAAACTATCCAAGGAAAATATATACTGAATGTCCAAGCCACTCCATATGTGTGGACAGACGCCCTACTAAGCCACCATGATCCCCATACATCCTGGCATGAACAACCTATGTGATTCCCTCTGCTCTTAGTGTATCTGCAGTACTTATGACTCACTTCTAGCCAATAGAATACAGCAATGATGATGGGATGTAAGTGATTACTTGTACTTAAATGCATTATTACAGTGCATAAGATGTTAGCACTCAACTTTCTGGAGCATTTGTTACTCTCTTGCTAGTTTTTCAGAGGCCAACTGCTGTACTGTGGACTGCCTAAGATCACTGTAAGAACTGTAAGCAGCTTCTGGTATGTAAACAGTATAATTAAAAAGAAAAGAGTAACCATTGAACTAGAGAAATGAACATCTGAATCCTCATTCATCACTACATGTCTAACTGGGGCAAAATATGGAGGCTCTTAGATTTCTAGTTGTTTTTTAGTAAAAATGGAAATTACAATACCTTGTAGAATTGTTGTAAGAAGTATGTATATGAAGCTGACTTCCAAATCGGTTAGGCCCTTTCTTTTCTTATTCCCATTTTCTTGCTCATTCCACTGTTGTCATTCTGTGTATACGGCCTACAGCCAGCAAGAAACTGAGGCCTACATTCATACAACCACAGAGAAATGAATTCTATACAATAGAGTGGGTATGGATTATAGCCAGCAAGAAATCGAGGCCTGCATTCCTACAACCACAGGAAATAAATTCTACCAACACCCTGAGCAGTCTTCAGAGATTTTCACATGAGACTACATCCCCAGCCAAAACATAGATTGAAGCCTTGTGAGATCCTAAGGAGAGGGCTCAGTTAAGTAGTGTTAACTCCTGACCCACAGACGCTGTGGACAAACAAATGTTATCTTAAACTGCTAAGTTTGTGGCAATTTATTACTCAGCAATATAAGATAATATACTTTGTTTTATATTCCCTTTCCTTATTTGATTACATATTCTTTGAAGACTAGACCATGTCTTCTTTATTCTAACTTGTTTTTAAGGGTTTTCACAGTAAAAGTTTGAATGTAAATGTAATCTTTACAAATACACAGAACCAATATATAAGCATACATACTAATATGTATGCTAGACACACTAATATGTCTGCTATTTTGTTATTTTTTTCCCAAGCACTTTAATATATATTGTCTAATATGGTAAATATATCCTGTGGTAGAGGCAGAAAGATATTATGCCTACTTCACAGGTAGGAAAACCAAGGTTGAGTCAGTTAAAAGTAGCTCCACTAAACTCACCTACAAAGTGAGCCACGATGATTACAAAGGCAAGTTAGTCAAGCCAGGTCACAAGCCTGTTCCCTAATCACGGACTGGTTGAAAAGATTCCTTAGACTTATGTTGCTTTGCTTAACCATCAAACTGTCAAACATGCAGTAGAAAGATATAAACAGACAAGAAAACAAATGAGTAAACAAAATGCTCTGTTATGTCCCTAGTTCCTCAGAAAGGTTCACCCAAATTTGTCAGTCAATACAGCATGGGCCAATTAAGAAGCCCACCATGATAGAAAAACTGAAGTCTTTGCCCTTTAAACCATTATTGCAGGGGAGTTTCCGTATCAGTATTCATGCATTTACTTTAAAACCACATAAAGAATTCTTTGCTATATCATGTTATATAATATTTATTTCAACTTTCCGGATCATCAGGTCTAAAGAATGCCTGGCTATGGCCTGTCCATCAAGTTAACATTCTAGCTTGCTATTGTGTCAATTATACTTTTTACATCTATAAAAGCAGACAATCTTTTAAGAATACACTGAATCAATAATTTAGTGTCTTACCAATGTCTACATTTTATTTTCTAACTATAACTTACATTAAACACTATTTGTTTCTTAAGTACATAATTTTCCACATGCAATTATTCACTCAACTTTCAATTTTTAAACTGTTAGGAAAAACAGCTTAAGATAGAAATATGACCTAAGAATTTCAAATACATAATAATTACTCAGTTTTAGATTTGGGTGATACTTGAGTGAAACAAATTGTAATGTTTTGAGTGTGACTGTCTATCCTGTTGAGGTAAGTTAGCATATTTGGTCATTGTATAAAGAACTCATTGTGCTTTGTAATGGGCCACCTCCACTATTTGTGGTTTATGCATGGCATTCTAAGACATCCCCATAGGAGAGTCACTCTGCTCCTAATAGAGGCTGTAGGTCAGTGTGTTGAGTCAGCATGATGCCATTTTAAAGGATGTGTGTACAATCTGTGAACTTGATTCAGTTCGGTTAAGAAGTATAGCACACAGCATGGGAGAGTAAATTTCCTTTACTTTGTTGTTGCTGAAGTTACAAGGCCATGAGTGGAGAGTAGAAGCAAATGTCTAAAATGATAAAAGTCCTTCTAACATTTCTAGGTTCCATTGCTACTTATCTGTGATTTACAATTAAAACAAAACAGTCTCAACTTGCTGCCTTTAAATAACCTGATCTTTAGCAAGGTACTTTAAATAACCTTTACTGAATTATATGTGTTATTTCCTAAACCTCAAGTAAACAAAAAGATAGTTGTGGTTCAACGTCAATTTTTAACATGTTAAGAAGTTCTTCTAATTTATCGATTCAATCATTTGGGAGTACCTTTGACCGCCTATTACAAACCAGATTTGGCACTGGGAACACAACCAAAAAAGTAAAACAAAACAACAGTATAATGTATTGGGCATCGGATCTTGAGCTCAGGGCCTTCTGTGTGAGATGTAATTTTTTCTCTCTCTCTCTATTACACTGCTCTTGCTAAGACATGCTAGCTATGTTTAATAAGATGTAGCCCTGGCTTGCAATGGAAAGTAGCATCTCCTGGGATAGTAAAATGTTATAATAACTAGACTGCAAACTTAAACATACACTAGGCATGTGTAATAAACATTTTTATTAAATTTCTCTGTCCCAATTTTTTAATCCTCTCCACTTTGTCAACCATTTTTTTTTCTTAATTTGTGTCTTACTATGCAGAGCAGAGTAGCCTTAAGGGTCATCAAAAATTGACATCGAAGAACAAAAATATCAAATCTTTGATATTTTGAACTTGTATAAAAGTGAGATAATTCTGGTACAATGTAGCTTAGAAAATGTGCTATTCAACTATTTTGGAAGTTAGCACTCTCCTAGCCTTGAAGACAGGCTTGGGACTGCTCAGCCATTAAAGAGACCCGTGACTCTGAGCAAAATTAGAATAAATGATTATTACCCTATGACTTGCACTGTTTTGTTTTTGAGAAACAAACAGTTCTGTTTGTAAATGAAGAGTACATTCTGAGAGAAAACTATGGAAAAGTTTGAGCTGCTTTGAGACATGTTTCAGGCACCTCAACAGACAGATGAAGAGGGGAGAGAAAATAACATGAAATGTGAATGAGATAAATCATGAGAATCTGTTCAAAGAAAGAAATATTTAAAGGACAACCGCAGGAAGAGCAGAACCTAGGCTTCATCACCTTCTGCCTGCCACAGCCTAGCTCCAGCCAGAGATATAGTGAGCACTTTGATATGAAGTTTGAGGGGAAAAGAAAAAGAGGAAGAAGAATATTAATAATTCAATAGTACATAGAACTGGAGGAAAAAATGCAAAAAGAAACAGAAAATTGACAATACTTGTTTTGGCTTCCCCTACAACAAAGGCTATCAAAGATACAACATTCTGAAGAATGAGACGTCTTTAAATGGAAAATAGTAAAAGAAAAGAACCTGTTAGGGAATACCTTTTGCCTGGTACAGTTTCACATGCACTATATTATTTAGTTTTCCAGATAACTCTGAGCTGCAATAATTATTATATATGAAAATTAATGCTCAGAAATATAATTTTGTTTATCCTAGGTCATACAATAAACTGAATTTCAAATTTGTACTGAAGATAAGTTGACACTAACACTCAGTTAAAAAAAAATAAAGAAAATCTGTAGTATTCTGTTCAGATGGTTGGTATAAACATATTGCATATTCAACCTCAGTTTATCTACCATCAATAGTAACAGAACAGGCTGGGCGTAGTGGCTCACACCTGTAATCCCAGCACTTTGGAAGGCTGAGGCAGGTGGGTCACTTGAGGTCAGGAGTTCAAGACCAGCCCGGCCAGACAAGGCCAAACCCCATCTCTACTAAAAATACAAAATTTTGCTGGGCATGGAGGTGGGTACCTGTAGTCCGCCCTACCTGGGAGGCTGAGGAAGGAGAATCACTTGAACCTGAGAGGCAGAAGTTGTAGTGAGCTGAAATCGTGCCACTGCACTCCAGCCTGGGTGACATGTCTAGACTCCATCTCAAAAAAAAAAAAAAAAAAAGGTAGTAATAGGACATATCCACCCACACAAAAATAAATGTTTTGAAAATAGGTCAGAGTCGGCTGGGCGCAGTGGGTCATGCCTGTAATCCAACCACTTTGGGAGGCCAAGGCAGGAGGATCACAAGGTCAGGAGATTGAGACCATCCTGGCTCACACAGTGAAACCCCGTCTCTACTAAAAATACAAAAAATTAGCCGGGGGTGGTGGCGGGCGCCTGTAGTCCCAGCTCCTCAGGAGGCTGAGGCAGGAGAATGGCGTGAACCCGGGAGATAGAGCTTGCAGTGAGCCGAGATTGCGCCACTGCACTCCAGCCTGGGAGACTCTGTCTCAAAAAAAAAAAAAAAAAAAAAAAAAAGAAAATGGGACATTGCCAAGAATATCATGCCCTAAATTGCTCCTTGAACACTCCATGTGCAGTGGCAGGCTGAGGAAGAGGTTAATATGAATGAGAATATTGTATCACGAAGGAATTATGGCTAAGTAACATGGATAGATAACAGCCTGGACTAGGCCTGAGTCCTCCTGTAACTAAAGGGGAAACTGATGAGCCATGTTGGTTTTAAATTTTGGCCAGACTACAACTAAACACTTATTTTTAAAACCAAGAAATGAACATTTATCAAAGCTAATACAAGTTGTATATCTTTTCCTCCAACAAAATCCAGAAATCAGTTTATTCATTCATAAACTAAATATTTATTGAGCACAAGCACCTACTATGTGAAAGACCCATGTTAGTCAACTGGAGTGTAATCATGATTAAGGACTGAAGCTGACCATTTTAGTCATGAAAGAGCACACTACCTAGTGAAGGAGATAGGCATATAAACTATTATGAGATGAATTAAATATAAAAAATATGATACCACCAATGAGAAAATCAACTTATTTGTAGAAAGCTAAGGACAGTTTTATAGTAAAAGATATATATACACACACATACATACACATATTTATACACATACTTTTTTTTAAGTGTCAGTCAAATAAAGACAGTGGGGAAGGGCCTTCCGCGTAAGGAAGTTTTTTGTTGTTGTTGTTTTTGTTTTGAGATGGAGTCTCGCTCTGTCGCCCAGGCTGGAGTGCAGTGGCGTGATCTCGGCTCACTGCAACCTTCACCTCCCGGGTTCAAGGAATTCTCTTCCTCAGCTTCCCAAGCAGCTGGGATTACAGCTGTCCACCACCATGCTCAGCTAAGTTTTTTGTATTTTTAGTAGAGACGGGGTTTCACCATCTTGACCAGGTTGCTCTTGAACTCCCGACCTCGTGATCCACCTGCCTCAGCCATCCAAAGTGCTGGGATTACAGGCATGAGCCACTGTGCCCAGCCAGGAAGATTTTAAAAAGGAAACCAGAAAATTTTTGGATAAAAAATACCAATGCAATTTGAATCCTCACTTTAGCACTGAGTAATTTGAAATCTTGGGTACTTTCTTGACTTCTCTGTACTTTAATTTTCTCATCTATTAAATGGTAATAAAAATCCCTATGAAAAACAGCTGTGAAGAATGACTAGGTAGTAGGAAGTCCAGGCCATTATGTCTGGTACTTGATGATTTTCCTGTATACACGTTGCCTGCATACATCCGATGTTTTGTAAGTCTAACCTTCAAAATTCCTTGAGAAAGGACAAATCTATTTTTCTAAAAGTTTACTTAAAAGCTCTGTTGGCTACTCACTGCTATGCTAGATGAATCATAGTTCTGACTTAGCATGATAATTCCTTTGCTTTCCAGCCTATCCTTTTAAATTCCATATATTCAAGTAATAGCCTGGATGAATGTTTTTGCACGTCATATACAAACAGCCACATCACACACCTTGTTTAACTTTAGCATCCCTATATTAAGAGATGCCACAACACACCTACTTCGCTGCAGGAAAAGGTTGTTGTGACAGCTGAGATACATAAATTCTGAAAGTAAGGAGCTTAGGCTACTAATTTGCATGTCAAAACCGAAATTTCACTTCTTTCTCATTTCTATTGACAATGATGTGTCTAGTTAATGGGAGTAACCTGAAAGAGTTGTGCATTTCACTAAGTTCTCTAAAAGCTTTGCTATAGTAAAGACTGCAAATTAAAATAAAATTTTAATCATGTAGCAGCCTGCAAGTGCTGGACTAATAATAATGATTAAGGACCTTTTTATTCTACAAAAGGAGCCTGGATTTCCATAGAAAAAAAAATCCATTCTTTAATTTCTTTATTGGCAGTTTTTATTGAAATCTTAGCATGCTGGGAAAACCTGAAAATCTGCCCATTTTTTTATAGCCAGAGAGTACATTTTAAATTTTACCATTAATATATACAATTTAGTCTCGCAAAAAACACCTTATAAAACCTCACTTATGAGCAGTGCTTCATTTATCATGTTAATTTTTAAATTATAGAATGGGGGTATAGATGAAAAATGAAGGAGTGAAAGAATACTTGGTGGATAAACCATAAATCCAACACCATTTTCTGTTATTTAATATCTTACTAGACACAGATGTGGCAGTTTCTATGTCTCACAGTTTCTATATTATATGCTTCAGGAAAATGGTCTGCCTTCCTTGCCTCTGTCATAGATTACTGTGTGATTCAAATGAGCTGACATATATGAAAATGTCTTAAATTTTGTCACATTATAAAATGTGCTAAATCTAGTTAATATACTAAAAGTCAAAATGGATATTTGTTGTCATTGTAAAATATGGTAAATTATGCTAATGCAAAATTTTGTAACTGTACAAATAGTAATTTTAAATGTAAAGGTAAAATTATACATGGTTTTAAAAGTCGGATCAGACATCCACATAGTCATTAAAATTTAGGGATCAACCAGTTTAGATAATATCTTCCTTAATTAGAGTAGTTCAATGGCATTCATACCTAAATGATAATGTGGAAAGAAATGAGGGAAACAGTATCCCAGTAATGTTGATGTGGAACTATCAGTGCCGTTTTTATTAAAAAATACTACTGCTCAACTTTTGTCTCCATTTTGGCTTGGTTCCTGAAGCTGATGAGTCCTGAAGATATGGAGATATTTTTTCAGTCCCTTTGATTTGCATTGCCAAATAGTGTGTACAAGAGTTTAAACAATTGAAATTATCTATTCTTAATCAATTTTTAATCTACATTAGTTTAACTTTAGGCTATATTCACTAACATGGTTTTATTATTCCATTACCTGTAACAACCTGACTTGAGTATTTCAAAAAACTCTTCAAGAAGATGAATTGCCAATAACTTTACTGTTCACTCCCAAAGGCAACCACTCCCAAATTTAGTCAACAGAAAACTTCAACCTATATGCTACAATGTTAAATTATTATTTATCCTTACGCCTCTTAGAAGCCCTTGTGTCAAAATACTTGACTTTCTGTGTTTGCTAATCCTAAACTACTCTCTCATGATCGTCTCAGTCCTAATCAAGCCTCCATGAAGGAAGACCCACATTATGGTACAATTCAAAACTACATAAGTGTACGAAATTTACCCAACCTCCTCTGAGATGCTAGGAGTTTATCAAGGTAGTTCTTTCCCTGACTGCCCTAAAAAAAAAAAAAAGCTCAGCTTTACATTATTACCAAATTGTCGGAGCCAACATTTGAGAATTTTTATTGCCACAAAAACTCATTTGAAACCTTCTCACAGCTATGGGCCACGATCTTATCTTAGAAACAGTACAATCTGGCCGGGCGCGGTGGCTCACGCCTGCAATCCCAGCACTTTGGGATGCCGAGGCGGGTGGATCACGAGGTCAGGAGATCGAGACCACGGTGAAACCCCGTCTCTACTAAAAATACAAAAAAAATTAGCCGGGCGCGGTGGCGGGTGCCTGTAGTCCCAGCTACTCGGGAGGCTGAGGCAGGAGAATGGCGGGAACCCGGGAGGCGGAGCTTGCAGTGAGCCGAGATCGCGCCACTGCGCTCCAGCCTAGGCGACAGAGCAAGACTCTGTCTTAAAAAAAAAAAATACAATCTTCTGGGGTTCCTTGAACCCTCGACTTGAGAAATTTCATAGTGGTGCCTGTGACATATGCCTCATATTGGATCAAAGCTCTGATTTCTTTCCTCTCCTTCCTAATTATCATAAATGTTTCTATCATGTGAGGGGTCTGAACTAGTCACTGGGATTTTGACTTTATCTCATGACAATTATCAGAAGTACGATTGCTACAGTCTCTCTGTGACCCACCTTTGTATAAAAGGCAATAGCTAGACTATTGGATCTATCTGCCAACTTGGTTTTAGAGCTTTGTTGAAGATTCATAGTCCCTTATTTGCTGTACAATCTCTGCCGCTTACTGAAAATAAGTTTCTCAACAAATAAGCTTACCTTCAATGAAATTGTTCTATTATTTCTCACCCCTGTCCATGACTGTAATACTTTAAGTCCTGCATTTCTTCTTCCATTATCTGATAAAAAAAAAACTCCTAACTTCTGCCTGTAAGCTCTCTATACCTCAAATAAGTTTATTAGAAACCCTATAGTTTAGCTTTATTCATGTTTGCTAATGGGTCATATGCTATGACAGAAACAAGAAAGTATCAGGCAGGTTAAACTGTAACGTATCTCACTTTACCCCTAGAATAATATTCCTCACTGGAGGCAAATATGTCAAGATAGTAAACTCATTGTATTCACCAGAAATTTTGGCTAGTCTATCAGTCTGTGTCCAGTCAGAAGAAAGAAACCACATGATTATTTACACAGAGGAAATTTAATGAAAATAATTATTAAATTTTAATACAAGAGTAGCTAAAAATGTAAAGAGAACCTAAAGGATTACCTAGGACTGAGGAAAAGTGCTTATGAAGAGATCGACTTGGAAGTAGGACTGTTAAAATATGGGCCACAGGTCAGATAGAGCGTGTTGGCTGAGTTTGCTGACTTTTGACCTAAGGTGCGTCCATAGGCTTCAATAAGATCAACTCTTCTGTTCCTCCCTTCCCTTATGAGTTAATATATGCTAGCTCACACATATACAGCTATCACTTTTTATTCTTCACTACACATTATTATTGCAAACATACACAGGCAAATATTGGCAGCAACTAATGCAATAGTCTAATAATAGGCATGCTCATTTTTTTTTTCCTAAATTACCACAAACTATGTGTTCAGTAAGAAACATCTGTGAAGACTGCTCTTGAGCCCTGGAGGAAAAAACACTATCAGATTTTTTTTTTGACAATTAATACAATGGTGATATGTCAAGGAATTGATCCTTGGATTCATACATCTTAATTAAAAGGTATAATACTTAAATTATAGGAAGTTGGTTCTTTGTAAAGACCTCAAGCTGAGGACTATTAGGAACTCTTCAGCAGCAGACACCTTTTGGTAAGAGACAGCTTCCACCTGATAATCCTAGATCAATTAGACAACTACAGTAAATATAAACAGCTTCCACCTATGGTCCATGGAATGCTAATACAGATAGTCACAGTTTTATCTGTATTCGTTTGCTCTTTCTTCTCCTGTATATCCTTATGATTCTCTTGTCTAAGGCTACCATTAACTAAGTTACTTTTAAGGCCCATATTTTTAATATTGCTTTCTGCTTCCTTAGTGTCTCCTTGGTTTGAATACAATAGCTGGCTCATATTTATTCACAAGTAGGTTAAAGCATACAACCAAACAAATTGGTGGTAATTTACATGTGTTCTTATGGGAGTCACATAGCTTTCCTTTGTTATAGTGTTTGTGAAATGTATCATTTGGTTTGCTAGGTAATAGAATTAAATTGATAGGTGATATTTTGGATGGCAAACATCATGATTAGTCATAAGAGTCAAAAATCTAAAACCATTTCTCATGTCATACCTAGAAAAGGAGGCTCCTTTCTCTACTAAATTAACACTGAGGAGGAACTTTTTGAGGGGACTAGCTATTGTAATAGAACTTTCCCAGAAATAGAAATTGGAAGGGAACTAGGGAACAGATTGTATATATTTGGAGGCTGCTGTAATTTCACGAGTCTTAAAAGATGCACAACTTCTCTTTTGATTTAAATATACCAAATGATCACAACAGGGCAAATGTTATCGCCTGACCACTGGACTATTACAAAACTATGTGACATTATTCTATGGATAATTTGGCCCAAAACAGATTGTTGGTGACCCCAAATGGCTGGTATGCATTTGTAGCACAAAAGCCTCTTGGTTACCACCTAAAAACTAGACAGTTCCATTTTATCCTTGCAAACTGATGTCTGACTTCAGGATAGTACCTGATCTGCCATCATTCACACTCTGTTTTGTTCCATTAGCTATTCCTCTATGAAAAGGAGGTTGTTAGATAACTTTACAACAACAAAAACCAGAAGGAAAAACTTACTTTGAAAACTAAAACATTAACCACTCAAGACAAATTCTGGATTATACTTTCTACTACTAAGACTTTTTACTTCATGCTTTATAAGAGTATCAAAAAGTAGAAAAATGATCTTTTATTCAGAAGAGTATGTCAAAATAGCAGGAAAGGCAGACAATCTCACCAGGGCATTATACTCTTCACTCAATGGAGTTCATGAAATCAGGCATGCAGTATTTGAAAACAGAGCCATTTTAGATAGAATATTGGCCTCATAAAGGGAAGTATTCAGCGTTTTGAAGGAATACTGTTGTGCAAAATATTTCTGTAGACTTCTGTGGAATTGTCAATATTACTAGCAGATTACAAAACAAATGAAAAAGTAAAACTAGATAATTTGTCTAATGATCCTATGTCCGGTTTTGTTAGCTCTTCATATTAAGGATGGGACTTATTCTATTTACTTAATATGAGCACTCTTGGATCCTGGCTGAAAATTGTGATAATAATCCTTCTATAAGTTTTTATTTGCATTGCAGTATTTTTATATGTGTTAACCTCAAATGCTGCTGTGCCAACTTTGTGAAATCAAATGATTTAACAAATGATCACCCAACAAAAGAACGGGGAACTGCAACAGTGTAGAGGTTGAAGCAATCATCCCTGAAAAAGTGACACATGACCATGACATCTTACATAACAGTGAAGATCTGATTTGATCATGTCTTCAAATATTAATGTTCAGTTGGCAAAACCTAGAAAACTGATGGCCTCCAACTCCATCAATGTTTCTGCCAAGGACATGATCTTGTTCTGATGGATACATTGTATTCCATGATATATATGTGCCCGATTTTCTTTATCCAGTCTAACACTGATGGGCATTTAGGTTGATTCTGAGTCTTTGCTATTGTTAATAATGCTTCAATGAACATACACATTCACTGTCTTTATAATAGAACAAGTTATATTCTTTTGGGTATATATCTGGTAATGGTATTTCTTGATTGAATGTGTTGACGAGAAGAGTTACACTTGGTAAAATAGTTGAAGAGATTTATTCTGAGCCAAATATGAGTGACCATGGCCCGTGACACAGCTCTCAGGAGGTCCTTAGAACATGTGCCCTAGGTGGTCGGGGTACAGCTTGGTTTTATGTATTTTAGGGAGACATGAGACATCAATCAAATCATTTAAGAAATCCATTGGTTTGGTTCAGAAAGGTGGGACAATTCAAAGCAGGGGCTTCCAGGCTATAGGTAAATTTAAATATTTTCTAGTTGACAATTGGTTGAGTTTATCTGAACACCTGGGATTAATGGAAAGGAATGTTCAGGTTAAGATAAAGGATTGTGGGGACCAAGTTTCATTGTGCAAAGGAATCTCTCAGACTACAGAGAGAGAACAGTTTGTAAAAAGTTTCTTATTGGAAATAAAAGTGTGCCTGGCTCTTAGTTATCTCTTGGATCTGGAAAGGAAGGAAGGAAAACAAAAGGGGAAGGTGATTCTCTATAGAATGTGGATTTTTCCCAAAGAGACTTTGCAGGGCAATTTCGAGGCATGGCAAGAAAATATATCTTGGAGTTAAATATTTTCTTCCTTGTCTCATAATGTTATACCAGAGTCAGATTGAAAAGCAAGTCACAATATACAGGGTCAAATAAAACCCATCTGATGAGAATCCATGGTTTGTAGGGCATGACTCCCCAGACCCTTTAGGCAAAATCAAAAATCAGAGCTTAGTCCTCAGTCCCCACCACCCCCTTGGCCATAAAGCATTCCACAGAATGGATATGCAGCCCAACAAAACAGCAGCAGCTCCCCAGGTGCTAGGAGGCTTATTCCTAGAGTACCTTCGTTAGTGGTAATAGTTTTAAATATTTGTGATTTGTGTCATGGGGAGGGGACGCGATCTGACCTGATGTAATAGCCAATAGTTCAAGGGGTGAGATGGAGTCAGGCCTAGGGTTTAGTCTTAAAAAAAAAAAAAAAAAAAAAAAAAAAAATCCCAGATCTTATCTATTTTGTGAGCTATCATGCTCCAGGTCTTTAATTATACCTTCTTTCTTTTGCTGTATCTGTCATAACATTTATTAGAGATACATAATGCTAATATAGTGACAAATACCATACATCTAGCAAAGATCAGGCATCCAAGAAGGCTATAGGTAGAGTCAGAGGGCAGTAAACAACCTAACCAGCCAAAAAACCCACTGCATGCATCATCACACTCTTTGATTAGACTCACGACGTGTTTACCCTATTTATTAAGGGTCATTTGAACCTTATGATAAATCTTATTTGAGGATTATAGGACCAACACTAAATCGGGATCCAATAAATTCAGTTTCTCTTCTGGCCAATTTATCTCCACAAGTGTAACATCCTGAGGAGGATGCAAATTAAATGCAAAGAATGCCTGGTCCTCAATGTCTAAATTGTTATAGGACTTGTTAACGGAGAACAAATCTCTTTTTCCCACCACTTTTGTATTGCATCATATACTGGCATTTGGGAAACAAAAGGAGGTTTTGCCACAGGAGAAGTTATATAATTCTACAGTGTCATTTTGTTGTTCCTCCCAACAGAAATGGCCCTTTGTCATACACCAGATGCTATGTCGCATGGGGGTGGATAGTAGAGGCCAAGTTTGGAAAAAAACAGGGTTCCAAGTGATTTGAGGGCATAGCCATTTTCCTTTCCTGTTTTTACAATCTGAAAGGGAGATGGGATGCCATGTGCTATCAGCTAAAATAGCCCACGTATTTCCCAGGGGGAGTATTCTTGTGTTGTTTACAATAGTCCCAATGCCTGCCAGTGAAACAACAGAGTACCTTTCAGCCTCATTTAACTTTGGTGCCTGTGCTCTTAAACAATGTTTAAGGTCACATTTTCCATCCAAAAATCTCCCTAAGTTTGGGGGACCATATACTTTTCCACATGTGTTTGGATTGTACCTCAGTACTGAGGATTGTAGGCCATTGCTTCATAGCCACCTCAGATTCCATTTGTAATAAAATAGACATAAGCCCCTGTTGGATAAGAGTACATGCTTATCCCCATCTTTGGGTTTGGAAGTATGTTTTTATGGTTTGTCTGGTTTCTTTTAGCCATTTGATGAGTGCTGCATTATCTTTTAAAGCAGCTTCCCATCCTTTTCCGTATTCCTGAAAGAGCATTCCTACTCTGTGGCCTATTTTTGATAGCGAATTTTTTTCTAAAGAATGTCTCTCTTTATTAGTCATGAACTCAGCTTGCCCCAGTATCCCTAGCCCAGCTCCATTTCCTCCAGCAAGGTCATGCTTTAGTTTTTTGGAAGGCCAATTTTTGTATATTCACCAGGAATGCTGTTTCCATTGTATACTGATGGCATTTGTACAATTTGTATAAATGGAGTAATCCAGAACTGCTGGGTATCCCAAACAATTGTTAAGTGAGTGGAGGTTACACCTAAGTATACCTTTGTCTAGGTATTCCATAAGATTTCCCAGTTGCGCCCTGCTCTTAGGGTGGAATGTGTGCTGTCAGTGACCTCTGTCCACCAATTGACTCCCATCAATAGTTCTCTAAGGGCAGTGTCAGTGTGGTTCATGCTGGATAGAGGCATCCAGCTGCAAGCACAGGGCTGGTAGTTATTTGGACAGGCCATGCTATGGCCGTTTACACAGGAGGCTGCTAGAATTTTCCCATTGTAACCAGGCAATTGTCTCAACTGATTATGCCTAATATTTACTGTTATGCAATGTTCTACCTGGTTAGACCCCCTCAGTGATCATCCTGAGGCACTGTTAGGCAAGTATTCCTGCAGGGCATCATATCTGGTTGCAGCCCTACAAGAGAGCTACCCTAAAAAAAGGGGGACCTCAGGGAATGTTTAGAATGGTGTTGTTCCACATAACACTCTTCATTGCATCCTGATCTATATCATACCAAATGATGTGGGCTCTGCCTGCAGGAAAATTGCTGAGGTTTGCAGGGGACCAGGAGAAGTTTTCAGGTTTGAAAAGAGAAGGAGTGTGGAGTAGGTAGACAGAGGAGATTGTGGGAGTGAGAATGAACAAGTAAAACATTTTCCTGGCTTTAACAAGGGACCGTATAGCCGCATCCATTTAGAACGTTATACCAAGGAACAGTGCATAGATTCCAAACAGCTTCTTAAGGGTTTCAGTGAAAACATTCAGCAATATTCTATAGCAAGGAAAGTAAGAATGAGAGTTATTTTAGATTTCATGAGGACTGGCCTGACCCAGTGTCTCTGGAAGTATGTTGACTTTCATTGTAGCCCTAGAGACGGGCTGAGCCTCCAGTCTTCTCTTGATTCACAGGTGGGGGTCAGAGACCAGTTCACAAGTCCAGGCATGGTTAGGAATGTGGTTGGTCACTCATTTTAGGTGTGAAATGTGAATCCAAGAAACGAAGAAGTGACTCCCTTTAACTTTGCAGCACAAGAGTTGGTTAAAAGCACCTGATAAGGTCCTTTCCAGTGGGATTGCAGAGAATACTTCAGTTGGTGTCTTTTTCAATACACAAATTTGCCTGGCTGTAATCCGTGGTCTTTTGGGCTATTAGCCCCCAGAAGCTAAGTGTGAAAGATTCTGTTACCAAGTCTGTATTATTTGTTAAGGTTTTGAGGAGCCCTTGACGATAGTGCAATATTTCCCCTTTGAGTTAGGTCGGTTCTTATAAACCCTCATCCAGCCTCATAGGTCTCCCTGTTATGATTTCATAGGGTGATAAACAATGTTTTCCAAAAGGAGTGGATCGAAGATTAAGCAAGACCAGTGGGGAAGGCTTTTGACCAAGGGAGATTAAAAGCCTCCATCAACTTAGCTGAGTTTTCATTGTGCCATTTGTTCATCCACCAACCTAGAGGATTGCGGATGGTAGGCACAATGGAAACATTGTATTATGGGCCACATTTTGCAAATGAATTGAACAACTTATCCAGTAAAATGAGTGCCATGATTACTATGCAGTTCAGAAGGAATTCCCCAAACTGGAATGATTCTAACAAAATTTTCCCTACTGTTAAAGCAGTAGCCCTCCGACAAGGAAATGCTTCTGCCCAGTGAGAAATCATACAAACTAAGACCAGCACATATTTGAAATTTTGGGGTGGCAGCATCTGGATAAATTTCAGCTGCCATACTTCAAAGGGACTGGCAAAGGAAAATGATCTTGGGAGCCATATAAGGGCTTGCCAGTGTTCTGTTTTGGGGCATATAGTATATAGAGAGTATACCCTTTTGGGCTACCATGGAAGACGGTTTCCAAAAGTATTGTTTTCTCCATGATACCATTTTTTCAGGGGCCCAGTGAGTCATTTCATGAAAAAACTGAAGGAAAGGCAATTGTGCACCTATGGGAACTATGGGTTTTTTGCTAAGCCCTAGCCAAAATTCCTCACTTGGGTCTAACATGCCTCCATTCTGCTGCCAGGTTTGTTTCTCTTGAGGAGTTGATGCTGTAAAAGAAAGTTAGTGCAGGTATTTGTAGGACGAAAGGTACACACCCACACATGATGGGCCATCTTTCCTAGGACAGCATTCTTTGCTGCAGCATTAGCCAGATTATTTCCTTTTGCTTCTTCAGTGTTAGCCTTTGAGTACCCAGAAATTTTTATGACTGCAAGTTGCCTTGGCATCTGAATTGCTTCTAGTAAATTCGAGACTTGGTGCCCATTTTGTATGGACTGTCCAGATAAAGTAAGAAATCCTCTTTGTTTCCACAGCATGCTAAAATCATGGGCTACTCTGAAAGCATACTGGCTATTGATATATACATTTACCACTTTTCCTATAGCTAAATTACAAGCTCTTGTTAGTGCTATTAATTCAGCCATCGGGGCTAATTTGACTCCTTAGGGTTGGCTACTTTTGATTATGTCTGTTATGGCATATCCTGCCTGGTAATGCCCTTGGTTGTCCCTTAAATAAGAACCATCTGTGAATTAAATTAATTTAGTGTTCTCAATGGGAGTTTCCTGTAAATCTCCCCCTAGAGGAGAGTAAGATATTAGTTAGATGTTGGGGGCAGAAAGAGGAGTATCTCCTAAGAGGTGAAGCAAGTAACAGAATAGTGTTGAGTGTGGTGAGAGCTTAAAAGAGATTTCACAGAGTGGGGGGCATAGCTGGTTAGGGGGGAACCTAGGACAAATCATTCGACGTTTTTGCATAAGGTGGCTGCAGCTAATATAGCCCTCACACAAGGAGGATGCCCGTTTGCAAATGGATCTAACTGTTGACTGAGATAAGAAATTGGTCTGTGAGTGTCACCATGTTTTTGAGTTAATACTCCTAGACCACTCCCCTTTATTTCAAGTACAAAAAGGGAAAAGGGAAAAATATAATTGGGGTGGCCTAGAGCAGGTGCTTGGGTGAGAGCCTGTTTCAGATTATCTATGTGCTTTTTTCCCCCCTCTTCCCAGTGGATTGGGTTTGGCTGGGTTTGTCTTCATTTTTTTGTATAGGGATTGGGCCATTAAGGAGTAGTTTGGACTCCAACTTCTGCAGAGACTCTCTCAGGGTTTATTAATAGCCCCCTTGGGGAATTCAGATGTCCCAAATATTTAACTTGGGGGAGGCAAAATTGTAATTTATCTTTTGAAACTTTGTGTCCCTTAAAAGGAAGCTGTTTTCATAGTTGGACAGTGCCTTCTCTGTATTTTAGTAGGGAGGATGAACACAAGAATAAATTATCCACATACTGAATTAGAGTAGAGTAGAGTAGAATTTGGAAATTCAATGTCGTCTTAATCTGCCTTTAGTATTTGATAAAAATAAGTAGAACTTTTAGCGTAGCCTTGGGGTAAGACTGTCCATGTGTATTGGTGATTTTCCCAAGTGAAAGCAAAAAGATACTGGCTATTTTGCTTTATAGGTGGGCTGAAAAATGCACTACAAAAATTAATAACTGATAAGTGGCTGGCAGTGACAGGAATATTAGACAGTAAGACGTAGGGGTTAGGAACACCAGGGTGTCTAGGAATTATTATTTTATGTATCGCTTTTAGGTCTTGAACAAATCTACAGCCTTTCCTACTTGGCTTTTTAATTGGGAGGATTGGTGTATTGCAAGGGCTGGTGCAGGGTATTATGAGCCCTTTGCTCAAAAGTCCTGAATGATTGGTTTGATTCCTAGTAAGGCTTTGGCTCTAGGGGGATATTGCCTTACATTTGGCAGAGGTTTGGATTTATATATTGTTATGTCTATACAGACTGCTGACTTAATTCTCCCAATATCTGTGGAAGAGCTTGCCTGTAAGGAATCTGGTACCTTAGATAAGAAAGGGTCTAATTCTTTCTGTCCAGAATCTTGATTAACTTTCACAAGCACAATATTACATGTGGGCTTTTGTAAGTCTTCTGTGTCTCCCAAGTTGAGAATTATTTCTCCCTTCTATGAAAATGAGATGCGAGCATTATGGGTCTCTAGGAAATCCCATCCCAGCAGGCATATTGAGGCATTATTTACTTTAAGAGAAATATAATGCCCCACTAGTTCTTCTAATTGAAATTAAAGGGGATTTGATTTAAAGGCTATAATAGGAGAGTCTGAAATCCCTACCATTTGGACTTTTTCTTTACTCCAAGGGAAAGGGTTTTTGATCAAGGTAGGGTTAAGGACTGACAGTGTAGCTTTAGTATTTTCCTAATTTATGGATATTTCTACTTCTCCTAAAGCATTAATTAGAATTTGGGGGAAAACCCTCTCTATTCTCTCAGAGGATCCCTATTCTTATTTTTGAGTTGTTCTGGTGCTTTCCTCTGGGGCCCTTTGCCCCTTTTGTGCAAGCATCCATTTAAGTTTTTTGCATTCATTTTTAAAATCTCCCATCTTTACTCAAACAAATTTACAAGAAAGAAACAAACAACCCCATCAACAAGTGGGCAAAGGATATGAACAGACACTTCTCAAAAGAAGACATTTATGCAGCCAAAAGACACATGAAAAACGGCTCATCATCACTGGCCATCAGAGAAATGCAAATCAAAACCACAATGAGATACCATCTCACACCAGTTAGAATGGCCATCATTAAAAAGTCAGGAAACAACAGGTGCTGGAGAGGATGTGGAGAAATAGGAACACTTTTACACTGTTGGTGGGACTGTAAACTGGTTCAACCATTGTGGAAGACAGTGTGGCGATTCCTCAGGGATCTAGAACTAGAAATACCATTTGAGCCAGCAATCCCATTACTGGGTATATACCCAAAGGATTATAAATCATGCTGCTATAAAGACACATGCACACGTATGTTTATTGTGGCACTATTCACAATAGCAAAGACCTGGAACCAAGCCAAATGTCCAACAATGATAGACTGGATTAAGAAAATGTGGCACATATACACCATGGAATACTATGCAGCCATAAAAAATGATGAGTTCATGTCCTTTGTAGGGACATGGATGAAGCTGGAAACCATCATTCTCAGCAAACTATTGCAATGGACGAAAAACCCAACACCACATGTTCTCACTCGTAGGTGGGAATTGAACAATGAGAACACATGGACACAGGAAGGGGGACATCACACACCGGGGACTGTTGTGGGGTGGGGGGAGGGGGGAGGGATAGCATTAGGAGATATACCTAACGTAAATGACGAGTTAATGGGTGCAGCACACCAACATGGCACATGTATACATATGTAACAACCTGCCCGTTGTGCACATGTACCCTAGAACTTAAAGTATAATAATAATAATAATAATAATAATAATAATAATAATCTCCTTTCTTTTTGCAAAAGCGGCAAATTGCTTCCTCTTCGGGTCACTTAGATCTCTGGGGACCATGGGACCCTTGCAAACTCCCAACTTGCTTACTAAGTTGTGTTAGTTGTAAACTCACAATCTTAGAGACTGTTTCCTTTTCTTTCTCGATGATTGTTTGTGACAGTTAGTTAGCCAGGGTGACTAGGTGGCTAGTGGGCAAGGAAGCCCAAGCCACATTATTCATCTTCATTGGGGTTGCTAACTATTTAAACCTTGAATGAGCCTTCTACCATGCTCAAAATTTTCAGGAGGTATTCCTGAAAACTGAATGTCTTTTCACACCTGACACAAAAGTCAGGCACGGTTTCATTTGGGTGTATTTTACATTGTTGCACCCTTGCCCAATTTATAACCTTGGGGAATATCTGTGGCGTATAGTTTCACAGAGGTGATTTACAAAGCTCTCTGCATTTATCTTTTCCAGTTGCATCTATTTTGTCAAAATCTTTTAAAGGCTGTTTCCAACCTGCTACTTTAAACCATTGTTCAGCTTTGTTTTTGGGGACGAGTAGCTCAATCAGCTGATACAGGTTAGACAAACTTGGATCACAAGTCTTAAGGGTTAATTGGAATGCCTTAGCAAACCCAAAAGGATTTTCAGTCAGACTGGGAAATTCAGACACCAAGGCCTTTAACTCTGATTTGGTCCAGGGAGTATGTATTATGTTAGGATCCCCTCTGCCTGTGGGTTTTATTCTAAAATAAACAACTACTATATTATTTTCTCTAGCTATTTTTGGTCACCCTGTGGCTTGAGGCAAGGGAGTAGGGGAAGGAGGAGGAAAAATGAAATTGTCCAGACAAGGAAGTTCAGAGAGTAGAGGGTTAGCAGGAACAGAAGGGAGACAGTTTCTGGAGCCTTCCTGATTTCAGAAGTGGCTTTTACTAATTTAATTCTGAGACAGTTTTACAATTTTTTTTGTTAACTTCCTGGAGGGAGGCAAGCTTATTATTCTTTTTGATAATTCTAAGTGCCAGCTAAAGTATAATTCCCATTCATTTTCTTTGATTTGGGAGCCTAAATGTTCTAATCTAGCGTGCAAGAAACCCAACTTAGGGATATCAAAAGTTCCCCATTTTGGAAACTTTACACCTAGGTTATCTTTAGTAAGATCTTCCCATTTACACAAATACTTGCAAGTAAAGGCACCATAGTTATTAAACAGAAACCCAGCTGACGTGCCTTTATGGGGCCACTCACCTTGCCTTTCCTCTTTTTTGGAGGGTTTATTTCCCACTCTTTTTTTTTTTTTTTTTTTTTTTTAAAGAGGAACTGACCCGTGGCCTAAGGTTTTTGTGTGGTGGATTGATATGTGCTGCTTGTGGGCAGGACTCTACAGTGTGTCAACACTGAGTTGTTTCTACCCTCTTACGTGTCTAACTTTCTTCAGAGGTGTATTACCTCTGAGAGGGCTTAAAACGCCAGGTGATCAGCCCTTATATGCATTTCCTGGACAAGCCTTTTTAAATTAATATTTGTTGGGGAGTTTCCTATAGCGCCACTGCACATTGCAGGGGGTCAACCCACCAGACTCTCCCACAAGGCCCCCGGTCACTCAAGGGCACTGTTCAGCTGGGAGGAGCAAATTGCCCTTTCTCTTTGGAGCTGAGGAATTCAGCCTCTCATTTACTTATGAAAAATACCAGTTTAGTTCCTCACACAAAGTACACACAGACAAGCCAATTGAGATTAATTTCGAGAGAGAAGACAACGGATTAAGACCCTTTTGAATGTACCTCTGAAACTAAAGATTTTAAACAACTTCCTAGGAGGAAAGAGGAAAAAAAACAGCTAAGAATAAATCAAGGACCATCAACCAAAACAAGAGGTCTGGGGCTCAGGAGGGCTTACCAGTTCCATCAATGCAGAAGCTCAAACTCGGTGAGGCTTCAATAGGCCCCTGCTTGTACCTTAGCTCCGGTTTTGGGCAACTCTTTTGTGGTTCTGAGTATTTTCCGAGGCCCCATGTTTGGCGCTGGATTATTGTCGACAAAAAGAGTCAAACTCTGTAAAATATTTGAAGAGATTTATTCTGAGCCAAATATGAGTGACCATGGCCTATGACACAGCCCTCTGGAGGTCCTGAGAGCATGGGCCCAAGGTAGTCAGGGTGCAGATTGGTTTTACATATTTTAGGGACGCATGAGACATCAATCTAATACATTTAAGAAATACATTGGTTTGGTTCAAAAAGGCAGGACAACTCAAACTGGGGGCTTCCAGGCTATAGATAAATTTAAATATTTTCTGGTTGACAATTGAACTTATCAGAAGACCTGGGATCAATGAAATGCAATGTTCAGGTTAAGATAAAGGATTATGGGGACCAAGTTTCATTGTGCAGAGGAATCTCTCAGCAGGCTGCAGAGAGAGAGAGAGAGAGCAGGTTGTAAAATGTTTCTTATTGGAACTAAAAGGGTGCCTGGTTCTTAGGTGATTATCTCTTGGATCTGCAAAGAAAGGAAAGAAAACAAAAGGGGAAGGTGATTCTCCATAGAATGTAGATTTTTCCCACAACAGACTTTGCAGGGCAATTTCAAGGCATGGCAAGGAAGTATATTTGGGGGTCAAATATTTTCTTGTCTCATAAAGTTATGCCAGAGTCAGATTGAAAAGCAAGTCACAATATACAGGGTCAAATAAAACCCATCTGATGAGAATCCATGGTTTGCTGGGCATGACTCCCCAGATCCCTTAGGTAGAAATTTGGGCAAGATAAAAAATCAGAGCTTAGTCCTCAGATGGTATTTGTTTTCAGCTATTTGAGGTATCACCACATTGTCTTCCACACTGATTGAACTAATTTACACTTCCACCCACAGTGTATAAGCGTTCCTCTTTCTCCACAACCTTGCCAGCATCTGTTACTTTTGGCCTTTTTCATAATAGCCATTTTGACTGGTGTGAGAAGGTATCTCACTGCGGTTTTAATTTGCATTTTTCTAATAATCAGTGATGTTGAACTTTTTATCATATGATGATTGGCCACATGTATGTCTTCTTTTGAAAAGTGTTCATTCATGCCTTTTGCCCACTTTTTAATGAGGTTTTTCTCTTGTAAATTTGTTTGAATTCTTCATAGATGCTGGATATCAGACCTTTGTCAGATGCATAGTTCACAAAAATTTTCTCCCATTCTGTAGGTTGTCTGTTCACTCTGTTGATAGTTTCCTTTGCTGTGCAGAAGCTCTTTAATTAGATCTCATTTCTGAATTTTTGCTTTTGTTGTGATTGCTTTTAGTGACTTTGTCAGGAAATCTTTGCTTGTTCCTATGTCCAGAATGATATTTCCTACGTTGCCCTTCCAGGGTTTTTATAGTTCGGGGTTGTATGATTTCAATACTATCTCCTTGCTGTTCTTGCTGCTCTTCCAATCATATTATTACCCTTAACCAATTCTAATAAAACCCCTAGATTGAAAGACCTACTTTAAACAAGAATCCACAGCTGATAAGTATTCTAACTTTGCCTTCCATACTCCCAGACATTGCTAAGATTTTTATCAAGTAAATGCTCTCCCTCACTCTACGAAAAAAAAAAAAAAAAAATCCTTGCTTTGCCTTACCAACAGGTTCTATTTTTAGGGAACTAGCACCTAACAGTCTCTTATTGCATTTGTTTTCTGACCTAAGAGACCATTTTTAAGGTGGTTGTAGGATTGGTAGTGGACACCAGATTATCTGTAATTGTTAGCACAGTCCAGCCTTGAGACATCTTTACTAACCTTTATCAAAGTCTGAAATAGTCTTCTACTTAATTTCCACATGATCACTTCCTCAGGTCTCTTTATATATTTCCTTGTAAGAAAAGGCTTTCACCCCTCTATTCATGCTACCGCTTTTCCCCAATTATTGCTCATAGCCTTTATCACTATCTAAAATATTTAATTCCTGATTCCCACTATCTTAGCTTTCTATCATTACAACAGACACAGATTGGATAATTTATAAAGAACAGAAGCTTATTTGGCTCATGGTAGTAGAGGTTGGGAAGCCCAAGAGCATGGGGACTACAGCTGTCAAGGGTTATCCCCTTGCTGAGAACAAGCACTCAGGACAGAGAAAATGGGGGCCAAACGTATGCTTTTATCAGGAATCCACTCCTGGGATAACTAACCCACTCCTGTGATAATGGCATTAATCCATTAATGAGAGCAGAACCCTCATGATCTAGTATCCTCGTAAAGACTCACCTCTTAATAACATCACAATGATAAATTTCAATATGAGTTTTGGAGAGGACATTCAAACCATAGCACTCAGCAATAGAATTCAGGATCTTATAGAATATAAACTTTATTACTATAATTCTAGCATGCAGTATAGGGACTCATGTTAAGTAAAAGATTAATAAATATATAATAAGCGAATGCAAAATGAATTCTGTGGTAGGTGTGAAATAAAGAAATGTGTACAATGCGAAGAGTTATTACTAAGTAGGTGAAAGAGGGAGATAGGAAATAATGTAACAGATCAAAAAAATTTCTAAGGTTGATACATTTTTAAGAATGGGAAATACATGCTCATGGAAAACAACCCATGAGGAAAACAAGAAGCAATTAATAGAGTAACACAATTAAGTGCTGAAGTACATGGAATTTAGAATAGGGATGAAGTATTTTGGTTCCAATAGGAGAAATAACTCTTCCATTTTCATCGATGGTCTAAGGAAATGATTGGAAAGCAAATGAATGATAAAAATAGTTCACCATATAACATTTTTTGAAAAATAAATAGGAGCTTTAGATATGTGGAGAAGATTCTATTTTGTCTATTAAGTTGGAAGTGAGGTTACTTGCTACAGTTAAATGCACCTGGTGGTAAGATAAAAGGATTAAAAAAACAGATATTTTAAAATAGTAAATTTTATGAGCAGAAGAGAACTCATTAGGTATATTTTGGAAGATACTAGGAAACATCGAGAAACCATTTGAGTTTTGAGACCATAAATTTTCAGTGTTGTATTAGTTCTCCTGTGTTACTCACCAGGAAAGATATAGGAATGAAGGAGAGCAGTACAGTGAAAAATAATAATTGCAGTTATGCTTATTTTTAAGAAGTAATTGTTCTGCATAGCAATTTGATAATAAGCCTGTCTTACTAGAATAATGCTAACTAAATTATTTAAATCTTATGTGCTACCTAGATGAATTCTAAGACTTTTAGCCATAGAACATTCTCACCATCAGGATCCTATAAAATTTTTGTTGGGTCTAAATTTCAATGCTTTTTTTAACTTTTGCAATTAGAATATTAGTAAATTTAACATTATTTATTAAAAGAAAACTGAGAAAACTTGAAACTTCAAGGTATTTAAGAAATTCTGCTTCATCTTCAAAATAGATCAAGAACAAAATTTTTCAGTTAAGATCATTAACAAAATCAGATAATTTTCTAAAGTCATATTTAAATCATTCTTATTCTATTCATGTCCATCCAAAGACTAAAATTTACAATTATGAAGAAACAAATATGCCCCTTCAGCAGGAGTTCAGCATAAGATTAAATTTAAATGTACTAACACATACCTTTATTTCTTAAAGAGAATTTTCTTCAAAAATAAAATTTAAGAAATACCTGAGTCATTATGAAAGTTAAATGTGTGTGGAAGGTCTACATAAATGAGCTTATTATCAGATTGCTTTGGTTTCTAATATATTCTTCTTAGCTAGCTTAATTCATCATACTTGAAGAGGAATTTTAAAATTAGCTACCATTAATTGTGATTCATTCTACTTCCATGCTCTTTTATAAGACTTGCAGTTTAACTTTTTACTCCATTAGTATATAAATTCTTAGAAGAAGAACAAGGTCCTCTTTGTATTTATATCCTCAGTGCCTAACATATGACTAGCACATTCAGGCATTCACTAAATGTTTCGACTTAGGAGTTGGGTTAAGGAAAGAAAATTACAAGGATTGAACTGTGGTAGAAAAAGTTTCTAATAAAGATGCACATCATAAACGAGGCATGGCACCCATCAGTTTTTACTTACTGGAATGAGAAAGCGTTGAAACATTTATAAGAGCAATCATAAAATAAATTGTAAACTATATTAGTTATCAACAAACCATTCAGAGTTGTTTACAGAGAAAGTGCTATTGTTATTGTAGCAAAATTGAGCAATTATCATTCCCAAGGAGAAAAATGTGACATCTCATTGTCACAAGCAGTTGGAACACAAAAAATTGTGTTCTAATAAAGATGATAACTTAAATATGTACATGAATTCTGACACATGGAAATTTTAATTATAAAAGTGACAGAAAAGACATTTTTAAATTTGTTGTATTGACATATATATACACACACACAGTTTAACACATAAATTAGAAATTGTTATGTATCAATTGGCTTTTGTTGTAAAAATGATTGATTAGTTATTTTTGGTTTCATAGCAATAATAAATCATTTTTAAATTGTAAGCTTGGTAACCTCAGAAATTAATGGAGGCCCTTATATTTGTAAATGTGACAACAGCAGGCTAACTGTTCTACTGAACACAGAAAATATTTTGCCATTGCAGAAATATTATTAAGAAACATGTATTGGGTATGGTCATTTGAAGTGCCACATAGAATTATGAATGTTGTTTTTTTAATATCTCAGACTTATTTTTCTAAAATAGATCTTACATAGAGCTATGCAGATGTAAAAAACTTATGTTTTGAGCTTCAAATGGATTTGAGTTTATATTATTAAGCAGACTAACTTTTCTTTCAAAATAACTCCCAATAAGTCTTAAGGAAATTGTCTGTTTTTCAAGTAAAAGCTTTCTAAGT
The DNA here is from genome assembly GCF_000001405.40 of Homo sapiens. Classification (NCBI taxonomy): domain Eukaryota; kingdom Metazoa; phylum Chordata; class Mammalia; order Primates; family Hominidae; genus Homo; species Homo sapiens. The sequence continues at coordinate 97,526,450 of NC_000011.10, forward strand.
TTTAGTTATTTTGTAATCTCTTTCATAAGCTTTACTCTCCCCTATCCTATTATCAGATTTGGAACCTCAGATAGGATATAAGTTCATGTAACTGAGGAGATTCAATGAGATGGAACATGTATTGACATTAAAACTAGTTTGACTTAATGTGCAGCAATAATATCTCCAAATTTTGCAGCAAACCACTGGAAAGAAAAGTAACTTCTTTTTTTCAATAATCTGTATTAAGTCTCATCACTTTTCAAGATTGTTTTGCTAAATTTGAAAGGCTTATATACAGGTGAAAAGTATGGTTAAGACTAAATGAATGAAATATATAGAGAGAAAATGGAATTCTGCATAAAAATTAGAATAATGTAAGTATTGCAATATTGAAAATGGAAAGCTTTCATATATTTGTATGTTTCTAAAAGGCATTATAGAGACATGTTCTTCACAGGCAGACTATGTGCCTTACACGTGGTAGAATATGTGATAGAAATATCTGATAGTTATATACTTTTTCTATTTTTCAAATGATTTCATACTCCACAGTATAAGTAGCTTTTGATTACCTTGAAAAATATAACACTTTCCAATCTCTAATATCTCTGATTTTAAAAATGAATTAGGTTGTTAAAATCTAGCTCTGACTGAAAAACATAAACCTAAATCAGTTATGGAGTCTCCCAGTTTTTAAAATATAGACTATGTTTTAAAGCAGTTTAGGTTCGTAGCAAAATTGAGTATAAAGTTCAGGGAGCTCCCATATACCTCTTCACCCCACTATGCACAGCCTTCTCCACCATCACCATCCTGCCCCAGAGTGGTACATTTATTACATTTGATGAAACTACATTGACACATCATCACCCCAAGTCCAGAGTTTACATTAGGGTTCACTTTTGGTGTCGTGCATCAAAACCGGTGTTCAAAACACTGGTTTTGAAACGTGTAATGACATGTATCCAACATTACAGTATAATACAGTAATTCACTGCCTCAAAATGGTAATTCACTGCCTCAAAAATCCCCTACACTTCACCTGTTCATCTCTCCTGTTTCCTCCAACTCCCGGAAACCATTGATCATTTTACTATTTCCAATGTTTTGCCTTTCCAGAATGCCATGTATTTGGAATCATACAGCACATAGCCTTTTCATATTTGCTCATATACTTAGTAATATACATTTAAGTTTCCTCATGTTTCTGACCTGATAGCTCATTTTAAAAATTGGTGAATAATATTCCATTGCATGGATATAACATTATTTATCCATTCACCTACTGAAGGAGACCGTGATTGTGTGTAAGTTTTGGCAATTATTGATAAAGCTGCTATAAACATCCGTGAGTAGGTTTTTGTGTGAATGTAAGTTTTCAGCTCTTTGGCATAAATACCAAGGATGACAATTGCTGGATTGTACAGTAAGAGTATGTTTACTTGTGTAAGAAGCTGCTAAACTGCCTTCCCAAGTGGCTATAACATTTTGCATTCCCACCATCAGTGAGTGGGAGTTCCTGTTGCTCCAGGGTCTTCCACTTTTAAATTGAGAAACCTATCAAAATTTACTGAATATATATTAATTATATATATTTGCATTTTATGATTGTTTCAGCACTCTAATATATACATATTGAAATTTTCAAAGAAGAGACACTACTACAACATACTAGATTAATAAATAATTAAGAAATTGATGTAATGCACCAACATAGCTGAATTAGGTGGGAGGGGAGGGCGGAAATGAGAAAATATTTCACAAAGGAAGCCATACAACTTTATCTTATTATACCAGCTATATGCTATCATGTTCTGGGCTCTTTAGTAGATTGAGAACGGTGTTTCCCAGAGATAAATTACCATCCTCTGATACTTTTCTGTACATTTACACTAAAGAAAACTTCACAGCAAATATGAACACAGTAACATCAACACAGTAATATCACAATTTACATCTCATATGCCAATTATCATTTGCCTTGAAAGCGAAATAGAACCAAATCTCAGTTACTCTTTTTCTCCCTCCCCAACAGAGACTGTTTGCCTTTGGATTCAGTACTCTCTCTCTGTCACTTGGTCACACAGTTATGAAATGCATGTCATTCCAGACATTTTCTTAATTGCCTTAGTAGGCAATTAACTACTTATTCATAGTATATCTACTTTAATCCTCACACCACCACTGTGGAATGGTATAATTATTAAAATTATATAAATGATGAAATTGAAGTGAGCCAAAAAATAAAAATACACATACACATTATGCTGTTTGGAAAAAATAATTAAAAGTATTTTGGTGGTCATAGGAAGAATACGCAGGTATAGAGGTAATACAGCATATATTAAAAGAAATTAAAGATGAATGTGAATTCAGAATAAGAATTCTGAAATTCAGAAACCTACCTTATGTGATTGTTGTGAGAATAAATTGGAATACTTGAGCATGAAATGATTAATATAGTTAATTGAACCAAAGTATTTATTTTGGTTATTACTATTGTTATTATTTCATGTATTCACTTAGCAAACATTGAGTGGCTTTTGTGTTTCAGATATTGTATGCTTTCTGGACTTCAGGTGTGAGTATCACTGTCACCGGTGCTTTAAGCAACGCTTAAAGTTTGAGAAGCATTGCTCTAGGAGAGAGGCAAATAGGCAAGGCTTAAGGGTAGGGTCAAGATTGGAGAAGGTTTATGTAGTTGAGACAATTGATGTGACAGATATCAGAGGTAAAGGCGTATTCACAATACATACATATTAGCATATATAGGTACAAGTATATACATATATATGTGTGTATATATGTATATGTGTGTGTATATATGTATATGTGTGTGTACATATGTATATGTGTGTGTATATATGTGTGTGGGTGTATATATGTGTGTGTGTATATATATAAGCAATTATCTATGTATTATATTGTGGTTTAGGATTTAATATTCATGACCATCAGCATCTATGTCTAACAATGCTAAGAAAATGATTGTGACATTTATACAAATCCTTTATTATTTGTAATTAAGATTAATTAAGGTAAAAATGCAATATATCTTATTGAATGAGGACTAATAAATGATATGATCTTCATTTTAATCAATGTTCCTGCCCCTGTCGAGTGCACCAGACAATATATTGCTGCTTTGGATTGTCTCCATCATATTCAAAAAAATTATAAGCCTCTAAGGCAATTTTAACTTTCCAATTGAAAATTAGATTATATTACATGGGATTCTACACAAATTATATTAGGATCTAAAAAGGAAATATAGACTCTGATAAACTCACAAATGAGTAATTTGAATTTTGAACAGTTGAGAAATATTGTTGCATTCACTTATACCAAATATGAAGGGTTAAATATTTGAGGAAGAAATCAGTTCATTTAAATCCTGCTATTACCACTGTACTTCCTGTTGTTTGATGCTCTATTTCTTGACATGTAATAAAAACTTTTACACAGCTGTACTAAATATGAGAAAGAACCAGGGATCATTCTCCTTGAAACAGATGTAAAAATTTGAAATTAAGATATGTTGTAGTAGATGTAGAAATTGACTTCTGTTTTTAAAATTTTGTGTTGAAAGTAAAGATGTTTTCATGCAAGGAGGAAAGAAAAAGCATTCACTTTTTATTTAAGAGTTAACATAGATACTCTAGGTCAAGATGATGTATATAACAAATACTAAATATTTTATCCTCCAACTAGAGGATATCTTTCAGATAAAATGTGAAAATAATAATTAAGCACATACCTATGCTTAAACAAATTTGTATAGACAAGAAATAGAAAATATAGAAAGCAATGGCTAAAGCTCTACAGAAAAATTGCTTGTGGGGAGCTGAGAACAGGAAGGGAGCCCATCACTTACTAGAGGATGGAGTCAAATTCAGTCTCCATACAGTGTGAGACTGGGGCTGCATGTGCAATTTAAATCGAGGTCTAGGAAGACAGTGCATGAATTGATGTTAGAATACTTCACCTGTTTGCCTAAGGTTGTAGCTAATGAAGAAAACTGGCCTGAGATTGAGGCATAGCATACTCATGTGCTGTACTACCTGTGATTAAAGACCCCAGGATAACATCATGTCTGTTGGTTGACAAATCAGAACTGATTCACTAACGTCAGCTGATTTAATATCGTATATACTAACATCTTTGAAATCATCTACAAGGGATAATATTTATGTATTTAAATCAGAAACTCATCAACAAGAACTACAAAGCTATGATAAGACTAATAAATACACTCAAAAGACCAAAAATTAAAATAAGGAATAGGACAAATATAACAATTTGAAAATGTTTAATTAATTGTATTTAAATTTTAAGAGTTAAATTAGGAATTAGCAACAGTGATCCAAAAATAAAAGTTTATGAAACAAAATCTGTTGGTTATAAAAACTGAAAACTAAAAAACTACCAATAGCACAACAGATACATATACTGCAATATATTCATATTTTCACTGTGTAATAATATTCAATGATGAGCTATTATGCAATGTCTGAAATAAACAAAAGGGAGTTTCTGAGGTCCTAATATTGTACTTCTTGATCTCAGTACATATTGTATACATTTTTATTTTGGGCAAATTCATCAATATTTCCAATTGTAATATGTGCATATTTGTGGATTCATATAATACTTTTAATCTTTTAAACATGTAGTTGATAATCAGAAAAACAGTAACATACCAAAAATAAAAAATGTAGTCACTGAAATTGTAAAGGCAATAGATAGGTTAGTTGGCAGACGTGAAACATATATATATATAGGGAATTAGCAGATTATTAGTCAATAACTATAAAGGCTTTACTATGTGCCAAGCAGTGTTCTGAGCACATAATACATTGATTATTTAATCATCACAACAAATCCCCAATATCCCCTTTCTGCAAATAAGGAGATTGAAGGACATACAAGTTAAGCAATGTTCCCCAAAATACTTGATAATTTTCAATTAAGAGATGATACCTATATTCTGACCAAGGTATTCTGGTTCCAGAGTCCAAGTCTTAACTGCATGTCTGTATTTATTGCTCTGCATTTCAAAGACTATAACTGAGAAATTCACCAACAACACAGTGATGAGGCATTATTCATCTTTTCATTTAACAAATATAAATTGAGTACCTGCAGTGAGTCAGCCACTGTTCTAGGCATTTGGGATGCATTAGTTGTTGGGGTGGGGGAGGGAGAAAACTGACAAATATCTCCATTTATATGGATCTTATATCGTTTGCTAGAAAGTATAAAAGATATAAAAAGGGATTGAATCATTATGTTAGGTAAGAAATCATAACTTAGCTGTTGTACCAATAGTCCAATAATGTTTTCAGAAAAAGAATTCAAAGAATGGTGCAGAGGCAAAATTCTAAACCATATGGGTGAAGAATTTCCTACAACTAAAGAAAATTGTAAATCCCTAATTTGACAATAACAATCAATGAAAGTTTTACGTCTTAATTATCATTCATACTTTTTTCCCTAAAGTCCCTGCAAATTTTAAAAAATGTATTTACTTTTAATTGACAAAATGAATTTTGTATGTTTTTGGTGTACAATGTGATATTCTGATAAATGTATGTATTGCAGAAAAATTTAATAAAGCTAATTAACATATCTATCACCTCACCAGTTTATCTTTTTCATGGTGAGAATGTTAAAAATCTATTATTTTTGCAATTTTTAACATTTCATAGATTTACCTCTACATAAGTTTCAGTTTTGGGGCAAATTGTGAATAAAACTGTTTTCCAAATTATATCTAATTATTTATGATAAATGAGAATTATTTCATATTATATTCTCATGTCAAATCAAAACCAACTCTTAGATCTAATCTACTAAAACATAGTCTATAGATCTGGTGTTTTCCGTATAGACTATCAAGACTCTTAAAGAACAATTGTATTTCAGATGATTTGCCTATTGCATTCATGTATAATAGATACTTATACTTTTTGCCTACCAAGAATATTTTAACACTCCAATTTTGTTTGGATAATTTTTCACATTTTATTTTTCATATGAAATATACAGATTAATAATTCATTTTCCTAGCATAGCTCTTAGCCAGAGCTAAAAAACACAAATTTTCCTTTTAAAATCTCGTAGATTTTCATAGGTATTTAAATATACTGCAGCATAATTTACGTGTAGTAACATACATCAATTTTAAGTGTAGAGGTCAATGATTTTAGACAAAAGTTTAAAGCCATATGCCCACCATCCCAATCAAATTAATTTCCAACAACAAAAAAGTTTTTCTTTGTCATAAATCTACCCAACTTCCACTTCAGGAACACAGTTATCTGATCAATATTCAATATAGGTTAACTTTTTTCTCAGTACTTGAACTTCATGAAAATGGAATAACATTCTATATATTCATTTATGTCTGTCTTGGTTTCTTTTACTGACAATACAGTCACATGACATTTAATGATGGAGATATGTTCTGAAAAGTGCATGGTTAGGTGAGTTTTTCATTGTATGAACATTATAGAGTATAGTTGCACAAACTTAGATGGTATAGCTCATTGTACACACAGGCTGTATGAAAAGCCTATTGCTCCTAGGCTACATACCATGTATGTAAAATAGTATGTTACTGTAAAATGGTAGAGTAAAATTACAGTATAAAAGATAAAAAATGGTACACCTGTATAAGGCAGCATCATTATCTATCTTTTGAGACCTCCATTGTATATGTGTCCATCACTGACCAAAATATTACGTGGTGTATGTCTATATTTCAGATATTTATCTATGTTCTTGCTTGTATTAATACATTCTTTTTCATTGCTGAACAATGTTCACTGTATGGATATATCACAATTTGTTTATCCATGCATTTTTTTTGCTGGACATTTAGGTTGTTTCAAGTATTTGGCTATTATTAGTAGAGCTCTGTGAACATTTTTGTACAAGTCTTTTGTTGAACATTAAAAAAAATTTACCTTGGGTGTAGAATTTACCTAGGAGTAGAATCACTGGGTCATGTGTTATGTGTATACTTAACTTTATAAGAAACTGCCAAGGTGTTTTCTAGAGTAATTATAATACTTGACACTCACACTAGCCATTTGTGACTTTCAGTAACTTTACGTCTTAGTCAACACTTAATATTATGTGTCTTATAACTTTTAGCCATTCTAGCTACCATATAGTAAATGTATGGTTTTACTTTGTATTTTCCTGATGACTAAAAATAGTGAGACTTTTCCAGTACTTACTGTTTATTTGTATATCTTCATGTGTATAATGTTTATTCAAGTTTTTTACCATTATTTTTATTGCTTTTGTTTTTAACATTAAGTCTGAAAATTACTTTCCATGTTCTGAGAACAAGTCTTTTGCGATATATATGAAATGCAAATATTCCCTCATAGTCTGCAGCTTGCCTTTTCATTTTCCCAACGTTGCATTTCAATGAATTGTAATTTTAACAGCTGCTGAAGTACATTTTACCAAAGTTTTCTTTTAAAGGTAGGGTTTTGTGTTTCCTGTCTAAGAAATCTTTGCATAGTTGAGAACTTTTCCTCTGTTTTCTTGGAAAAGAAGCTTAATAAGTTTACCTTTGAAATTTAGGCCTATGACTGTGATACATTTTAAGTTAACTTGTATGCATTGTGTGAGGTAGGGTTCTAGATTTTTGTTTTTTTCCAAATGGATACTCAGATATTTCAGTGTAACTGAATGAAAAGACTATTCATTTACACCTAACTTCCACCCTTTAATTACTTTGACCCTAATGTTAAAAAGCCTTGAACCACATATGTGTGGTTGTATTTCTGAACTAGTTAAATTACACTGAAATGGAATATACTGACAGTGAGTCTTGATATCAGAAATGTCTTCGCCCCCACTTTTGTTTACAGAATTATTTTGTCAATGATAAACATTTTGCACTACTGAGTAATTTTTAAATGTGTCAATCTCTAAAAAAATTTTCTTGGATTTTGACTGGACTAGTGCTACATCAATTGTCAGGTAATTTACATCCCAGTATTTTCTTCCAATCAGGGAACGTGCTGGCTCTCAGTTTATTTAGATATTCTGTTATTTCTCTAAGAAGAGTTTTATAGTTTTCAATAAGTCTAGTATATATATATATTACATTCCTTTTTGTATATCTTGTGTTTCCTGATACTATATAACTAGTTTTGTTTTTAAGTTACATTATCAAAAAATTTTTGGTATGCGTGTTTGTGTGGTGACCTTGTTTCCTGTAGCCCTACTAAATTCACATATACATTTTTGTAAGTTTATTATCTTATCTGTATAAACTTTATAGTTAATATTTTCTTAAATAAAAACAATTGTACTTCTCCTAGATGCTTTTTTATAATAGGGGTTTGGATAGTGACACAGGAGGCCTTATTATATTACTTGAATCTCCACTTGTCAAATAGGAGTGGAAAGAGCCAACATCTTTGCTTTGCTTTATATTAGCAAGGGAAGTGTCCAATATTTCAAATCTAAATATAATGTTCTAAGTTTTTGTTTAAATGTACTCTTGATAGAACAAATTCCTTTGAATTCTTATAATTCTGATTTATTTTTTGTGAATGATGTTAGTTTTGATAAATATTTTTCTGGCTCTATTGAGAGCATTATGGGATTTTTTTATTCTGTTGTGATCAATTTCATTGATAAATTTTTGAATGTTAATAAAACTTTGCAATGCTGGTATAAATCCAGTTGATTGTGATATATAACAATTACATGTTGTTATATTTAATTTGATATTATTTTGTTAAAGATTTTTTCAACTACGTGTATAAGAGCTATTTCTCTGAAGTTTTATTTTTTAGTAAGTCCCTTCTCTGGATTTGGCCTCAGAGAGGCTGTCATTCTAAAATAAGTTAAGAAATGTTTGTTCTTTCCAAGAAAAGTTATAAGATTATATAATTGGTATTAAACAATTCTACCTAAATATTTGATAGAATCCAACAATAAAGCCATATCTTCAGAATAAAAACTAGAGTTTTATTTAGTGAAGTTTTTTTAAATTCTAAATTTGATTGCTTTAATAGAGGGCTATTCATATTCTTGGAATATCCTTGTCATCATTTTGGTAATTTATTTCTTTCAAGGGATTTGAATGACATGGATTTGTTCATATTATTATATTTTTACTGCCTGGGGTTTATTTAGTGATGCCTATTCTATCATTCCTTATATATGTTTGTGTTTGTTTTTTTTTCGATAGTATAAGTAGAGGCTAATTAATATTATTGATATTTTCCAGCAACCGATTTTTGTTTGTTTTTATTTGTTCAATGTTTATTTTGAAGTGTACTCTTATCTATATTACTTTCTTCATTTTATTCATATTGGATTTAATTTGATCTTTTAAATTCATACCTTTTATAGTATAAGCTTAGTATTATAGTGGTTTTTATACTATCCTATGTATTTAAAGTTAAACATTTACTTCTAAAAATTACTGTAGCTACATTGTACATTTTTAATATGTAGTTTGTATTTTCTGTTATAATTCAGTTCAAGTTATTTTCTAATTTATCCTGCAATTTCTCACTGCCATTATATAGAAGTATGTATTTAATTTTATTTGATTTTATCTTTCAAGTATCAAATTCTAATTTAACCTTAAAGAATTTCAACTTATGATTTTAATCATTTGAAATATATAAAGATATGTTTTAAGGATCCATTCTGTGGTTTGGTAAATGTTACATGACTTGTCCTGATTTCTACTTTGAATATCATTGGTATTAATATATCCACTCTAGCTTTCTTTTGAAGTGAGTGTATATGCATATATGTATGTACATTGTAAAGAATGTTTTTGAAGTATTTTCCCATCCCCTTATGGGAAATCTTAAATGTAATTAAATAACATGCTTTATAGGCAACAAGCAGATAAATCTTTGTCTTACAAAATTCTTTCCCCCCACCACCACCACCCCGACTTTTTTTTTTTTTTTTTTTTTTTTTTTTTTAGATAGAGCCTCACTCTGTTGCCCAGGCTGGAGTGTAGTGGCCAATCTTGGCTCACTGCATCTTCCACCTTCCGGGTTCAAGTGATTCTCATGCCTCAGCCTTCTAAGTAGCTGGAACTGCAGGTGTGTGCTACCATGCCAGGCTAATTTTTGTATTTTTAGTAGAATGGGGTTTTGCCATGTTTTCCAGGCTGTCTCAAACTCCTGGGCTCAAGCAATATGGCTGATTTGGCCTCCCTAAGTGCTGGGATTATAGGTGTCAGCCACCACACCTGGCCAAAAATTCTTTCTCTTAGTCAGTTTAATTCATTAATATCTGATAGAGTATTGACATGGTTGGGTTTAAGTCAGTAATTTTCTATTAATTTTCTGCTTTTTCCATCTATATTTTCTTTTTATCCTCTATTCTTGCCTTCTTTGGGCTTGAGGATTTTCGCTTTTCAGTATTCCATCTTAAGTTCTCTTGGGGTTACTAGTTATACCTCATTGATTTTATATTTTTAATAATTTTTTTATGTAATACAATATGCAGTTATAACAGTGTAATTTTAAATGACATTTTATGTAACTTTATGATAGTGGCAGGAGGCAGACAAATTCCTAGGCAGATGGGGGGGTCCCTGGTAAAACTCAACCTTCAAGCCAAAGGCAGCCTCAAGCCTGAGACCCAGGCTTCCAGTTCCAGGTGGAATTCATGACCCAGAGTGAGAACTTGCTTGATGCCTTTCAGCCAGTTAATAGGTGCTTTTTCCAGGGCTGCCAATGGACCAACCAGCACACACTTTGTGCATTCTGAGCTCATAAAACCCTGGAATCAGCCACATGTCAGGACCACCCACCTGTGGGTAGAATATACCCACTTAACGTCTCCTCTCTGCTGAGAGCTGTTCTGTTCACTCAATACTCTTCTCTGCCTTTCTCACCCTCCAGGTGTCTGTGTAACCTTATTCTTCCTGAATGCAGGACAAGAACTCGGGACCCAGTACAAGGCAAGTGCAAAACAGGCTATAACACGTTCCTGGCCAGCTCGCTGAGCTGTGGGTAATGACAAGCTCCCATTTGTCAGATTTTGGCAGGGAAGGGCAGTAACCCTTCTGGGGGCCCAGGTCTCAGGATTTCCTGAGCCAGAGCTGTAACACTATAGCCCTCCTGCCCTCTGCTGGCATCAGGTGTCCACCCCATGTGATGCAAAGTGGTGGCGGGGTCGGCTAGCCTGGGAGCCATGGGCCAGAGCAAGGGAGCAGGACTGATTGAATTGAAAACATGCCCCTCACCCCTACTTGCCAAGCTGCTGGCAGTGGGAAAGATACAGCTTAGCATTCCCCCCAGTCCCTTGGGGATATGTGATTGCTGGCGTCTCCAAGTTTTTATGACCCACCATGTTCCCATCATCCAGACGCTGGCACCTGCAGCGGAAGCGACTTGCAATATGGCTGGTCCAGCTGCAGCTTTGCACAAATCCAGCACCTGGAGCAGCCTGTCCCACTGCAGCAGCTGGCTCACATGGCTGTGCACAGTGGCCAGACCCCATACTCACTTGCTCACATAACCCTCATTGCTCTGCGCCTGGCTCACCGTTGACAGGCATGAGATCTCGGCTGGCAGCGCGAGCTGAGCACAGCCTTCAGGGCTCAGTGGATGGAACAAGTCCAGTGGGCATGAGTGAAACTCAAGCCGCAGAGGTTTTTGGCTGGTCAAGCAACACCCAAAGGATCATGGGACATTTACACAATAATGCAAGAACTACAAAACAGTATAATTTATTTTTACTTCACAAATAACTTGTGCTCACCTATATTACTCTTGTTTTAATTGTATAATTTATTGTTATTAGTTTTAAAGATTCAAGTGTGATTTACAGATAATACAAAGGAAAATACAAACCTTTGTATTTTCCACACATTTACCATTTCTAGCATTCCTTAATCCTATGTGTTGATCTAACTTGTAATCTATTATCATTTTCCTACTATTTGCTGAATTCCTTATGAAATTTCTTTTATGCATATGATTTGCCAATAAATTATTTCACTAAATTATTTCAATAAATTATGCCAGTAAAAGTTGTGCTTATAAGGAAATTTATTAAGTTCAAAAATTAGAAAAACAAAAAGACCTAAATACAGCCAAATGTTCTACCCTGAAACATGAGAAAAAGAGAAATTTAAGCTGAAAATCAGGAGGACAAAAATATAAAAACTAGAGCACAAACCAATGATTCAAAAACAGAAAATCAACAACAAACCACCACCACCAAGAAAACCAAAAACTGGATCTTCATAAAGATCAATAAAATTAATAAACTATAGCCAACTAAACAAGAAAGGGGAAACACCATTTACAAGGTTCAGAAATGAAAGAGGAGTTATCCCTATTCTCATAGATATTAAAATTATAATAAAAGAATACTGTGAGCAACTTCATTCCTACCAATTTGAAAACTTAAATTAAATGGACATTTTCCTTGAAAGACTTTACAATAAAAACCCCATACAGAAGTAGATAATCATAATAGGCCTTTATTTATTAAAGTAATAGCATCAAAAACTAATCATTTTGCAAAAAAAAAAAAAAAAAAAAAAAAAAATCAAACCAGAGGGATTCACTGCTAATTTCCACCAATTTTTTAAGCAATAAACTATGCCAGTACAGCAATGTCTCTTTCAGAAAATAGAAGCATGAGTAAAGCTTCTTGACTCATCCTGTGAGGTCTACATTACCTCAATACTAAAAACAAATAACCAGTTAGCATCATGATGACAGGATCAATTTCACACATAACAATATTAACCTTAAATGTAAATGGGCTAAATTCCCCAACTAAAAGACACAGACTGGCGAAGTGGATAAAGACTCAAGACCCATCATTGTGCTGTAGTCAGGAGACCCATCTCATGTGCAAAGACACACATAGGATCAAAATAAAAAGATGGAGAAATAGTTACCAAAGAAATGGAAAGCAAAAAAAAATTAAAAAGAAAAAAAAGAAAAGCAGGGGTTGCAATCCTAGTCTCTAATAAAGCAAACTTTAAACCAAAAAAAAAAAAAAGATCAAAAAAGACAAAGAAGAGCATTACATAATGGTAAAAGGATCCATGCAACAAGAAGAGCTAACTGTCCTAAATATATATACACTCAATACAGGAGCAGCCAGATTCATAAAACAAGTTATTAGAGACCTATAAAGAGACTTAGACTCCCACACAATAATAGTGGGAAACTTCAACACCACACTGTCAATATTAGACAGATTGATGAGACAGAAAATTAACAAGGATATTCAGGACTTAAACTCAGCTCTGGACCAAGCAGACCTAATAGACATCTACAGAACCCTCCACCCCAAATCAACAGAATATACATTCTTGTCAGTGCCACATAGCACGTATTGTAAAATTGACCACATAATTGGAAGTAAAACACTCCTTAGCAAATGCAAAATAACAGAAATCACATCAGTCTCTCAGACCACAGTACAATCAAATTAGCACTCAGGATTAAGAAACTCACTCAAAACACCACAAAGATATGGAAATTGAACAACCTGCTCCTGAATGACTACAGAGTAAATAGCAAAATTAAGGTAGAAATAAAGAAGTTCTTTGAAACCAATGAGAACAAAGAAACAATATAACAGAATCTCTGGGACACAGCTAAAGCACCGTTAAGAGGGAAATTTACAGCGCTAAATGTCTACATCGGAAGCTAAAAAGATCTGAAATCGACCCCTTAACATCACAATTTTAAAAACTAGAGAAGCAAGAGCAAATGAATTCAAAAGCTAGAAAACAAGAAATAATTAAGATCAGAGCAGAACTGAAGGAGAAAGAGACACAAAAACCCTTCAAAAATTCAAAGATTCCAGGAGCTAGTGTTTTGAAAAGATTAACAAAATAGACCACTAGCTAGACTAATAAAGAAGAAAAGAGAGAATAAACAAATACACAATAAAAAATGATAAAGGGGTTATCACCACTGATCCCACAGAAATACAAACTAACATGAGAGAATACTATAAACAACACCTCTATGCAAATAAACTAGACAATCTAGAAGAAATGGATAAAATCCTGGACACATACACCCTCCCAAGATGAAACCAGGAGGAAGTTGAATCCCTGAATAGACCAATAACAAGTTCTAAAATTAAGGCAGTAATAGCCTACCAACCAAAAAAATAAAGCCCAGGACCAGACGGATTCACAGCCAGATTCTACAAGAGGTACAAAGAGGAGCTGGTGCCATTCCTTCTGAAACAATTCCAAACAACAGAAAAAGAGGGACTCCTCCCTAACTCATATGAGGCCAGCAACATCCTGATACCAAAACCTAGCAGAGACACAACAAAAAAATAAAATTTCAGGCCAATATCCCTGATGAACATCAAAGCAAAAATCCTCAATAACATACTGGCGAACCAAATCCAGTAGCACATTAAAAAGCTTATCCACCAAAATCAAGCTGGCTTCATCCCTGGGATGAAAGTCTGCTTCAACATAAGTAAACCAATAAATGTAATCCATCACATAAACAGAACCAATGACAAAACCACATGATTATCTCAATAGATGCAGAAAAGGTCTTCAATAAAATTCACCCCTTCATGCTAAAAACTGTCCAAAAAAACTAGATATCAATGGAACATCTCAAAATAATAGGAGCTATTTATGACAAACCCATAGCCAATATCATACTGAATGGTCAAAAACTGGAAGCATTCCCTTTGAAAACTGGCACAAGACAAGGGTGACCTCTCTCACCACTCCTATTCAACATAGTATTAGACATTTTGGCCAGGGCAACCAGGCAAGAGAAAGAAATAAAGGGTATTCAAATGGGAAGAGAGGAATTCAAGTTGTTTCTCTTTCCAGATGACATGATCCTATATCTAGAAAACCCCATCATCTCACCCCAAAAACTACTTAAGCTGATGAGCAACTTCAGCAAAGTCTCAGGATACAAAATCAATGTGCAAAAATCACAAGCATTCCTATAGACCAACAACTGACAAGCAGAGAGCCAAATCATGAGTGAACTCACATTCACAATTGCTACAAAGAGCATAAAATACCTAGGATTACAACTTACAAGGGAAGTGAAGGATCTGTTCCAGGAGAACTACAAACCACTGCTCAAGGAAATAAAAGAGGACACAAACAAATGGAAAAAAATTCCACGCTCATGGAAGGGAAGAATCAGTATGGTGAAAATGGCCATACGGCCCAAAGTAATTTATAGATTCAATGCTATTCCCATCAAGCTACCACTGGCTTTTTTTGCAGAATTAGAAAAAACTAATTTAAATTTCATATGGATCCAAAAAAGAGCTCGTATAGCCAAGACAATCCTAAGTAAAAAGAACAAAGCCAGAGGCATCACACTACCTGTCTTCAAACTATACTACAAGGCCACAGTAACCAAAGCAGCATGGTACTGGTACCAAAACAGATATATAGACCAATGGAACAGAACAGACGCCTCAGTAATAACACCACACATCTACAACCATCTAACCTTTGATAAACCTGACAAAAACAAGCAATGAGGGAAGGACTCCCTATTAATAAATGGTGCTGGGAAAACTGGTTAGGTACATGCAGAAAACAGAAACTAGATGCCTTCCCTAACCTTATACAAAAGATAAACTTAAGATGGATTGAAGACTTAAATGTAAAACCCCAAACCATAAAATCCCTAGAAGAAAACCCAGGTAATACCATTCAGGACATATGCATTAGCAAAGATTTCATGACTAAAACACCAAAAGCAGTTGCAACAAAAGCAATCATTGACGAATGGGATCTAATCCAACTAAAGAGCTTCTGCACAGCAAAAGAAACTTTCATCAGAGTGAACAGGCAACCTACAGAATGGGAGAACATGTTTGCAATCTGCTCATCTGACAAAGGTCTGATACCCAGAATCTACAAGGAACTTAAATTTACAAGAAAAAAACAACATCAATAAGTGGGCAAAGGATATGAACAGACACTTCTCAAAAGAAGACATTTATGCAGCCAACAAACATACAAAAAAAAGCTCATCATCACTGGTCATTAGAGAAATGCAAATCAAAAACACAATGAGATACTATCTCACACCAGTTAGAATGGCGATCTTTAAAAAGTCAGGAAACAACAGATGCTGGTGAGGCTACTGAGAAATAGGAATGCTTCTACACTCTTAGTGGGACTGTAAATTAGTTAAACCATTGTGGAAGACAGTGTGGTGATTCCTCAAGGGTCTAGAACCAGAAATACCACTTGACCCAGCAATCCCATCACTGGGTATGTACCCAAAAGATTATAAATCATTCTACTATAAACACACATGTACACATATGTTTACTGCAGCACTATTTACAATAGCAAGTACTTGGAACCAACCCAAATGCCCATCAGTGATAGACTGGATAAAGCAAATGTGGCACATATACACCATGGAATACTATGCAGCCATAAAAAAGGATGATTTCATATCCTCTTCAGGACATGGATGAAGCTGGAAACCATCATTCTCAGCAAACTAACACAGGATCAGAAAACCAAACACCACATGTTCTCACTCATAAGTGGGAGTTGAACAATGGGGGCACATGAACACAGGGAGGGGAACAGCACACACCAGGGCCTGTTGGGGGATGGAGGCCAAAGGGACAGACAGCATTAGGACAAATACCTAATGCATGTGGGGCTTAAAACTTAGATGATGGGTTGATAGATGAAGCAAAGCACCATGGCACATGTATGTATACCTATGTAACAAACATGTACGTTCTACACATGTACCCCAGAACTTAAAGTTTAAAAAATAAAAATAAGGACATTACAAAGACAAACTACAGACCATTATCTCTCACAAATACATATGCAAAAGCACTCAACAAAATATTAGCAAATCAAATATAACAATGAATTTTTAAAAAGTATACATGATATATTCCAGGTATTCACTCATTCATGAGAAAAAGTTTCAGCCATTAGAAATAAAGTACATACTCAACTTTACAAAGAACATCTACAAAAATCTTACAGGTAGCATCATCTTCAATGGTAAGAAATATCCTGGTGACAATTTACTCCTAGGATCAGGAACAAAGATAACTTCTGTCAACACTCCTATTCAACATTGAACTAAAATTCCTATCTAGTGAAATGGGACACTGAAAGGAAATAAAATATACAGGTTTGGGGGAAAAATATACTGTGTTTATTCACAAATGACAATGTTGTCTATGTAGAAAATCCCAAAGAATTAACAAGAAACTCCTGAAATTTATAAGTGAATAAATCGTGGTCACAGATACAAGATTAATATACAAAAGCGAATTGCTTTCCTAATCAAAAATGAACAATTGGAGTTTGAAATTTTTAAATGTAATACCATTTTTGCAATAGCACCAAAAACTTTAAATAACCTCAAATCTAACAAAATATGTACAATACATATATGTAAAAAACTCCAAAACTCTAATTTCAAAAACAAAAAACACAGAACTAAGTGAATAGAGAAATGTACCATGCTTGTAGCTTGAACAATTAAACATTTTAAGGTGTTAATTTTTCGCAGATGGACCTATAGATTCAGTGTATAACTACAAGCAAAACCCCAGAAAGCTATTTTACAGATTTCAACAAATTGATGCTACAGTTTATAGAGGAAAGTAAAAGACCTAGAAGAGCCAACACGATACTGAAGAAGAAGGACAAAGTTGGAGGTCTCCTATTTTCCAATAGAAAAGCTTAATGCAAAGGTATAGTAATCAGGACACTATGTTATTGCCAAAAGAACAGACACAGAGATCAATGAAACAGAATAGCCAATCTAAAAATATACCTTTGCAAATATAGTTAACTGGTATTTGATGAATGATCAAAGGCAAATTAAATGGAGAAATGGTAATCTTTTCAGTAAATGGTGCTGGTATGCTGGATATATACATGAAACGATGATTCTAGACTCATATCTACAACATTCACAAATACTAACTAAAAATAGGTGACAGACCTAAATATAAAATGCAAAACTATCAAACTCTTAGAAAATAGGATAATATTTACATAAATTTGTATTTGGCAGTACCTTTTAGATACAGTAAAAAGTCATGATTCATGAAAAAAACTAAGTTGGACTTACTTAAAATTAAGTACTTTTGCTCTGAGAAAGACAATGTCAACAAAATGAGAGGGTGAGTCATAGACTGGGTGAAAACATTTGCAAAAGATGTATCTTATGAAGGAATCCTACCCAAAGTATACACATAACTCCTAAAACTCAGTAATAGGAAAATAAACAACCTGATTACAAATAGAAAATAGATCTGGCACCTCATCAAAGAAGATATACAAATGGCCCATAAGCATATGAAATGATGTTCATTTGATCCTAGTACATATCACACTTATTACAATGGATAAAATCCAAATATGCCAGCAATATCAATTTCTGGCTCGGAGATTGAGCAACAGGAATTCTCTTTCATTGCTGGTGGTTATGTCAAATGTTATATCTACTTTGGAAGACAGATAGGGGTAAATATAGTCTTGTCATATGATCCAACAATTGTACTCCTTGGTACTTACCTAACTAATTTGAAACAGGAAGAAATGTTCATAGCAGGCTTATTCTTAATTGCCTAAACTTGGAAATCACCAAGATGTGAATGAATTAGCAAATTGGGATACTTTCATACAATGCAGCATTTTTTATGATAAATAGAAATGCACTATCAAGTCATGAAATGGATGAAACATATGTATATTTCTAGGAGAAAGAAAACAATCTGAAAGGCTACATACTATATGATTCAAATTATATGACATCCTGGAAAAAGCAAACTTACAAAGACAATAGAAAGATTAATTGCTGCCAATTATTCTGATTAAGAAGGTGAAAGCACAGGGGATTTTTCACGGCAGTGAAAATATTCAATATGATAGTTGAATGATGGATACCTGACTTTACCTATGAAATAAAACTCATATAACTTCACAGAACAAACAGTGAACCTTAATGTGTAATTAGAAAAAAAGACAAATGTTTTGCTGGTTGAGGGTCCCCAGAATAGAATGCTAGTTGTAACAAAAGAATCTAACTATACTTTGATTATGAATAACCAATGTACGGAATAAGCTTATTGAGATAAGGGTGGGGGAAACATATTAACCCAAAGAATTTTGGAGATGAGTGCAGTATCAGAGCAGTATTCTAATACTGCTATATATGTATACTAGAATTGATCAATTAAGTCAATGGCAGATGGTGGGAGTTTACATATAAGCAAGAGAAAGATGCCAGAATAACCCATGTAGTAATGGATGATACTCAGGTACATGAATATGAACTTATACTTAGGTTAATGCAGACACAGGTGGTTACATATGGAAATATATATGTATGTGTGTATATATACTGGTTATGATAAACACACACATTTCTTTGTTCCATTGGCTGAGAATGTCTAGAAGTAGTGAAATCTCAGTAGCAACGGTCACACATGGAACCTAGACCTTCATTTCTGATACCATTCTTCAGTAGAAAGAACCAGGATTCCTTGCATTAAACTAGCTGATTCTAGGACTGGGGCAGAAAATACACAAGATGAGTCTGAAGGATCTCACAGTGACAGAAAGTAATGAAGTACTTAAACAAATAACATGCCCTTTGCTGGAGGTATATTAAAAAACACACAGGAGCCAGCCGGGCGCAGTGGCTCACGCCTGTAATCCCAGCACTTTGGGAGGCCAAGGCGGGCGATCACAAGGTCAGGAGATTGAGACCATCCTGACTAACACAGTGAAACCCCGTCCCTACTAAAAATACAAAAAATTAGCCAGGTGTGGTGGCGGGTGTCTGTAGTCCCAGCTACTGGGGAGGCTGAGGCAGGAGAATGGCGTGAACCCAGGAGGCGGAGCTTGCAGTGCGCCGAGATTGCGCCACTGCAGTCCAGCCTGGTTGACAGAGCGAGACTCCATCTCAAAAAAAAAAAAAAAAAAAAAAACCCAGAAAAAACCCACACACAGGAGCCAAATGAAAGAGATCCCAACCAAAACTGGAACAATTTAAAGAATAAAGTAGTATTGGATTGTAACCCAAATATAAAATAAATACCTATGAGTCCATATTAATATAAATGAATGAATACATAAAATGGTAGAAGAGGAAAATCTACCATGCAGAAAAATTCCAAATAATTTATATAGATATTTCATGCTCAAGAAGGTGGAGCAGAACTCCCCACTCTAAGTGTGGACTGCTCATTGTCACTTCCTTACAAAGAATAGCGTATGGAAAGAGGAAAAATAACATTACAGTGGAGAAACCTGACAAGCACAACCTCTGCCAGGTAATAAATACTAACATGAACAGCAATAGGTCATGTGATAATGTATACTCTTGATATAATGTGATGAAAACAGCACTTTAACCATCCCCTTCCTCCCTCAAACCCATAGCCCTACTTTAAGAAAAACATTAGACAAATCCTAAGATAGGGACATTCTACAAATTACCTGACCAGTAAAATTGAGAACTATCAAAGTCATCAATATAAGGGAAATCTAATAAACTGTCACAGCCAAGATGAGCCAGAGGTGATGTGACACTAGAATGTAATGTGGTATCCTGAATGGAATCTCAAAACAGAAAGAAAAAGTCAAAAACTAGTAAAATCTGCATAAAGTATGAACTTGAGATAATAATAATGAATCAAGATTAGATTACTGGTTCATTAGTATTAACAAATATAATGTATTTGTTCTATTAACATATGTGAATTTAACAGGAAGGAAACTGAGCACAGGGTGTATGAGAACTCTCTGTACTAACTTCAGAAGTTCTCTCTATACATCATAAACGATTATAAAAAATAAATTTTTAGAAATGTTATAACTTGTTAAATGTTATAAATGCATTAAAATAATGTAAATGCATGTAACATTTCTTATCTCCAGGTGGTGAGATTATAAACTTTTTGCAATTTTTGTTCATGTCCATTTTTGGCATTGAAGGTACTTTTTTTAAATTTAAAAAAGTTACTTTACACACTGAAAAGTGTTACTATACACACTGAAAGGTAGATATTCGAGCAAAGAGAAAAGAGCTAAATATATGTATATGTATATGTGTGTAGACTAGTAAAATATACATATTAGCCTTAATTTAGTAAAGACAAGGACATATTAACAACATTTTATTCATAATCTTCAGTCTGGAGATAATTACTTAAGTCTTAATACAGCAGAGGAAAAGTTAAAAAGCATTCCTTAATATATTATATTAACATTAAATAAATTAAATACGAATTTGAATATTTAAATATATTAATTACATTAATATATTTAAATGTAAATCAATACATACATTTATTAATAAACTAGTATTTGAAACAATAAGAATATTCAAACAAATACACTTTTTATGCAATTCAATTTATTACAATTTTCCTGAGAACAATGAAAAAGTTTGATCATGTATTTTATAATTATTAGAAATACTATTTTTATTATAGTTACCTTCACATTTTAGCTGATTAAACCAAGAATTTTATTAACAATGAGGAACTGGAAACAATTGGTGATATTTTAATCTTCTCAGAGTATTTGTTTTTATAATTTTATCACTATAATTAAAATGACTAAAAATAAAAACAAATATTACTCATTTGGCGTCATATGTTGCTACAATAGTAACCCAGTGCTTCATAGAAAATTAAGTATTTCTAGGATACTCTATCTCTAGGAGGTTTAATGATAATTTAATCAGAATACGTAATTTTTCAAAAGCAATTTCTACTGTAAATTAACAATATTAGAAGCAGAGAAAAAAAGTGAAATAGAAGCCTCCACCAATTGCCCCCCAGCAAGGACACCAATTTAACAACTATCTACATAAAACAAGCACCTTCATAAAAACCAAAAAACAGGTGAGCACTCTCAGTACCTAGTTTTAACTTCATATTTCTGTAAGAGGCACACAAGAGGTTCTAAAAATATAACCAGTCATTAATTGCTAAAATGTCCCCTCTCCCATCCCCCAGCAGCAGCAGCAGCAGCCTGGTGTGGAAAGTGTTTCCGCACCCTAGGGAGAGGGAGAGCCAGCAATTGTGAGGCATTGAACTTAGTGCTGTGGGCTTCAATACAACAGTAGCTGGAGACTTCAACACTCCACTTTCAGCATTGGACAGATCTCCCAGATAGAAAATCAATAAACATCGGACTTAACCTGCACTGCAGATCAAATGGATCTAATAGATATTTAAAGAATTTTCACCCAACGGCTGCAGAATACACATTATTTTCCTTAGCATCTGGATCATTCTCTAGGATTGAACATACATTAAGTCACAAAACAAGTCTTAAAACATTAAAAAACTGAGATAATATCAAGCATCTTCTCTGACCACAATGGAATGAAACTAGAAATCAATAGTGAGAGATTTTGGAAACTACACAAATACATGGAAGTTAAAGCATATGCTCTTGTATGACCAGTTAATGAAAAAAAATTAAGGAGATTGAAAAATTTTTTCATAGCAAATGAGAATGGAAACACAACATATCAAACCTATGGGATACAGCAGAAGCAGTACTAAGAAGGAAGTTTATAGCTGTAAGTGCCTACATCAAAAAGGAGAAAAAATTTCAAATAAACAAGTTAACAGTACATCTTAAAGAACTAGAAAAGCAAGAGCAAACAAAACCCAAAATTAATAGAGGAAAAGATGTAATAAAGATCAGAGCAGAAATAAATGAAATTGAAATGAAGAAAATACAAAAGGTCAATAAAACAAAAAGCTGTTTTTTAAAAAAAAAGGTAAACAAAATTGACAAATCTTTGGCCAGACTATGAAAAAAATAGAGAAGATCCAAATAAAATCAGAGATGAAAAAGAAGACATAACAACTCATTCTGCAAAATTTAAAGGATCATTAGTGGCTATTATGAGCAACTATAGGCCAAGAAACTGAAAAACCTAGAAGAAATGGACAAATTCCTAGACACATACAACCTACAAATATTTGAACCAGGAAGAAATCCAAAACCTGAACAGACCAATAACAACGAAGTACTATTCAGCCATTAAAAAAAAAATGATATCCTGTAACTTGCAACAACATGGATGGAATTGGAGGTCCTTATGTAAAGTGAAATAAGCCAGGCACAGAAAGACAAACTTCACATTTTTTTACTTATTTGT
Organism: Homo sapiens; assembly: GCF_000001405.40. Classification (NCBI taxonomy): domain Eukaryota; kingdom Metazoa; phylum Chordata; class Mammalia; order Primates; family Hominidae; genus Homo; species Homo sapiens. The sequence continues at coordinate 97,549,606 of NC_000011.10, forward strand.
GGGATCTAAAAATCAAAACAATTGAACTCATGGACATAGAGACTGTTACCAGATGCTGAGAAGGTAGTAAAGTAGTGAGGGGGTGAAGTAAGTATGGTTAATAGGTACCAAAAAAAAAACAAAAAAACAAAAAGAACAGTAGAAAGAATAAGACCTACTATTTCATAACACAACAGGGAGGCTATAATTCATAACTTAATTGAACATTTTACAATAACTAAAAGAGTATAATTGCATTTGAATACAGAATAAATGCTTGAGGGGATGGCTACCCCATTTTCCATGTGGTATTATACACTGCATGCCTGTATCAAAACATCCCATGTATTCCATATATACACCTACTGTACCCACAAAAATTTAAAATAAAAAAATATATTAAAGGCTGTCTAAGCCTCAAGAGATATTCATCATATAGCTAAATTACTGAAATTTAAATTATTACTGCATTAGAAATCATTATCCATTTTTCTCAACATCGGTTCCATGTTTCTATTTACATAGCGAGCATGTGCCTCATTTTATTAAATAATTTCTAAATAAAAAAAAACCCTATACTCTTCTAAATAGTCAGGATAAGAGATCACATTAAAATAATTTCTCAGTACATGAAACATTTACAGTGCTAATGCTCACAGTTAATCTGAATTTTTTTTTTTTTTTTACCAGCGTGTAGTGTTCTAATAATTGGGTGAGAAACACATGAATAGTGAGGACACTTATTCCAAAATTTCTTAGAATCTTCATTTTGCTATAAAGCTAACTTCTGTGTTGATTTATTTTCCCTATTGGGATGGATAAACCAGCTCCATAATACTATAATTATCTTGAATCATTACCACAATACATATTTAAGTACTGCTAAAAAATTAAAAAAAAAACCTGATTAAATGTCTTCTCTAAACTCTACTGTTTAGCAGATATGTTTTTGCCCTATCAAAAAATAGATCAGACTTCTAGGTTTAAAAGCTTTTATACACATTTTTGTATGTGTCTTTGTGTAAATATGTATTCACATATTATATATAATATATATTATTTATCATATACTTATATTTTTTCTTCCATCTATACCTAGGATTGGAAATGTTGAGTCATAGGGCAGAAAAATGCTTGGCTTTAGTATACTGTCCTAAACAATTCTCCAAATCGTTTGTATCAATTCAGACACCCTTTAGCAACATATGAAAGAAGTTTCTCAACTGGTAATGTCAGTTTTTGTTTTTCTTTTCAGCTATCCTGGTGGAGGTGTAGTGCTTTTAATTTTCATTTCCCTGGAAATAAATGTCATATATATTTTATATAATATTTGCCATTTGGATAGCCTCTTTTTATGAGGTGTCTACTCAATATATAGCCTATTTATAGTCTTTGTCTTTTTATTATTGCTTTGAAGTCCTTCATGAATCCTATATAAGAGTTCTCTATCACATATGTGTGTCATATATGTTTATCTACCTATCGGTCCATCAGTCCATCCACCTATAACAAATATATTATCTTCCTTTTGTCTGTAGCTTGACTAGACACTTTGTTACTGCTGTATTTTAATGCTTACTTTTTTTTTTTAACTTAACAAAGTAATTGTTTTTTCCTTTTATGGTTAATACTGTTTGAGTTCAATCTAAGAAATCCTTGCCTGTCCCAGGGTAAAGAAGAAATTCCATGAATTCTTCCTGGAATTCATTTTTTGCTAAAACCAGATGTGTTTTGTTTTTTTCTGAACACAAATCTGATTTATTTTCTCATCTTGCCCTAATAACCACACTGCCTTCATTATTTTATCTTTATAAATCTTAATTTCTGGTAGAGAATCACTTTGTAATTCTCCGTCTGTTGAGACTTGGGTTCAAATTACACTGAATCTTTACAGAGTTTGGGAAAAAATGTTATTTTAACAATTTTGAGTTTTCCAATCTATGGCCATAGTCTACAATTGCTATTGGTTTGCCTTTGTTAAGAATTTCAACCATGTTTTGTACTTTTAAGCAAGGAAACTTGAACATCTTTTGATGGATTTTTTTTCTCTGATGAAGCTTATTTTCAGTGCTATTGTGGTATTTTAAGTGTACTACTGTTTGTTGCTAGTACATAGAAATAAAATTGAATTTTGTATATTGAATTATATCCAGTGACTATCATTTGTAATTTTTGGTAGGTTCTTTTGCATTAACTCTATATAGGAACATACTTGGAAATAAAGATAATTTATTTTTTCTTTCCAATATGCATGCCTTTTATTTGTTTTTCTCTCCCTATTACACTGGTGGAAACTGAAGTAAATGTTTAATGAAAATAGTGAAAGTAGACATTGTTTTCTTCTCCGTACACTCAGGGGGAAAGCTTTTAATATTTCACCATTAATTGTTGTGTTAGCTATTTTTTTCTTGCTTTCAGAGCTACCTTTCAACAGGTTCACATAATATGTCTTCTCTTATAGTATATTATATATACTTAGTTTAAAGCCGATATCAAAATATGTTGAGAAAGACAAACAATAATAATTATAAATGCAAAAGAAAATGCTCAGTTGTATTCAAAGTGATAATTGAGCACATACTATTTGCCATTTTCTATTTGTTTTAAAGTACAAAAGCATGACTCGGGGAAATCATAATATAGAAAATTTAGTATCTTTCAGAAAGCCAGATCCATATTTGGTCCCACAAGGGAACTTAACACTTCTGCAACAAGGTCCATTGCATTGGATCCTGACATTTACCAGTCTCTCCTCTGTTCTTTTAAGTGTACCGTCTTCCTGGGTTGGGGGTAAAGTATCCACAAAGCCAAGGGACATTCTCACCAAGACCTTACCAGTAGGTAAAATTAGCGTTATGTAGGTACATCAAAGTCTACAACATCTGGAATTTTATTTGGCACCTCCAATCTTTTCTGGAGTACATACAGTTGACATGTGGGGAGATTCTGTTTATTTTGTCAAACATCTATTGTTTTATCTTGATCTTATTCTCCAGACTTCAAAATCTTGCTTTCAAAAGGTTAATGCCTCATTGTTTGTTTGGCTTTTTTTCTAACTCTGATAATATTTGACCATTTAGCTAGTTGATGTTTGTATACATTTTTTCCACAGCATTTAGGCTAACATCAGACTTTACATTTCTATTCTGATGTCACTGATTCCTATTAAGACAGAGATGGTACACTTGTAGTGAAGCCAGAGCATACTCCTATGTGTTCCATACTGATTTATGGACATTGCTATACTGTGTCATTTTTGTTCTTTTTATTATTCTAGGGTGTTCTTTTCACTGCAACTTTTTTAGCTTTTAATAATTCCCCTCTAATGGGTTGTCTTATGCCTATTGTGAATGTCCATATTCTCATTTTATTCAGAGCTTTATTTGTTCCATCAGTAAATATATTTAGTAGTTTGACATCAAATATACTTAAGTATAAAAATGACTGACTAAATCTAGTTTCTCTAGATAAATTTATCTAGTTACCCCTTCTTCTAGGTTACTTGTAGATAATAAGGATATCCAAGATTAAAAGAGACAATGGTTGAGAGGTTCCTAGATGAAGATAAGCATGAAACATGACAGTTAAGGATTAAACCATGTAATCACACAATAATTCCATTCCAAGATTGTAAAACTAATATAAATTTTTACAACAGCTATAGTTATTATAAAAAATATTACAAGCAAATTAATAATGGTGCTTCGAATGTCAGACCCCTTACCAGACTGATGTCCAAAAAGCTCTTGAGTAATATCCTTAACATGATGAAGATAAATCACTGTCAACCTAAAATTATATATCACGCTAAAAGATTATTCAAGAATGAGGGTAAAATAATGACAAATTAAAACACAGGAAAACAGAGAGTATTAATTATGGCTAATTGTGTAAGAAAATACAAAAAACAATGTATCACAATAAGAACATTGAATCCAGGCAGAAAGATTGGGTAGTAATTGGTGAAGGTGAACACAGAAATTAGTATACGTGACAATAGTTCAATATAGTCCTTAATTACTGATAAAGATAATTTTAATTATTTTGAATGATTATATTTTAATGAGTCAATAGTTCAAACAAAAACAAAAAACAGCTCTTTTTTCTCCTACTTCCAATTCTCTCATGCATTTACTTTATGCTACCGTATAATAAAAACATATGTATAAAGACAGAGCTGGCATTTGTTTCCTTTATCCTGAAAGAATGAGGATTATATGAGTACTACATACATACAGCAATACGGAGTTTCCTGAAACTTTGCTCAGGACAAACGTAGAATGTATTCAGTAATTTGGAAAATAGAAGAAGAAGATTATAGTCCTCATTTACAATAAAATAAAATCTCCCATAAAGGTAAAAAAGCTGTTAGTGTATTAAAAATGGAAAAAGTAGGCATATCTGACGGTTTGTATGGATGTGCATGTGTTGTAAGTGTAAGACAGTTTGCTAAGTTTTCCTTTGTCAAATCACCTGCCCTATCATGTGTTCTATGAAATGATTCAGTATGTATGGTCACTTGGTTCTCCCTTATAGAATTAGTTTCATTATCATCACCATTTTACTTTTACTTTCAATGTAGTGATTTCTTGATGCATTGTTAATCTCTATTATATTTTGTTAGAGATTTTTTAAAAAGGTATTTACCTAAATTTAGAGTTAAGAATATTTGGCCAATAATACTAACAATATTTTGGGGGCTCAAATTAATCGCCTTGTTTTCCCATTTCCCATTAAAGAGAATGATATCACATGAAAAAACAGAACATACTGATACACCAATATAAAAGTGTATCTTGTAAATAGTTTATGCCAGCTTTGATTCTAAAACATCTGGAATTTTATTTGCCACCTCCAATCTTTTCTGGAGTACAAACAGTTGTGTTTTATAGTGGCACTAAATCAACATACATCTTCCCTGAGTTTGTCTGCCACTCTTTAATACTTAGATTCTTGAATGTTCGTTGTCAGTAAAACAACTAATGCAAGCACAATGGGGGGCAACAGGAATCTATAGGTAAGGTAAGTGTTTTAATAACATCAGCCAGTGTTTGCAAGAAAATATTGCCAGTTGCTATGGGCATACAATTAGTGGTGACTGCAAATGCATGCAGGTATAATCATTGCTCTCTGCAAAAAGCTGAACACTATTTTGTCATTTATAGGAAATTTGGAGGATGATCCATCAGCTCAATTGAATAAGGAAAGTCTATTTAAAATGCTGAAATGCTGACAATTATTGTAAAGAAATCTAGATTTCTTAATATTTTTGTCAAAAAAAATTCACCAACAGTATGAGAGACTAATATAGCTAGCATCTCGCACTTGTGGGTCAGGGAAGACGGGGATGCATTAAATACAAGCAGGATGGTCCTTCACTTGATGACATGGCTATTTAATATTGAGTATTCCCACTCTAAACACATATGCTTCAGAAGAGAACTTCATATTAAAATAAATTTTTAAATCATTAGATAATATTAAAGCTTTAAAACATAAATGATTCCTTGTAATAAACAATGCAAATATTTGAGAGTTTCTTTTGGTGTGTATATGTATCCAACATTTAATAAAAATATTATGAAAACCACTATGAGTTTTTTTCTTGTTTCTGGACCATTACAAAAAAGATGTTACCACTATCTTTCTACTTTTTTTAACCTTATGTAAGTACTCTCAGAGGAGTCCAATTTACGGCTATTTTGAAATGGTAACATTGTTCTAGAGTTATATATTATCCTCTAAATAATAGAATTCCAGTGAGCTGGAACAATCTGCTGCAGCTGATGTTTTAGCAAACAGACTATTCCGTGAAGCACAGTTGGAATTGCATCCAACTGTCAAGGAGATCCACAGAGAGTATACCTAAGGATCTATATTGTCTGTGTCCAGGTAGAAGGGTAACAAACATCATTCCTAATATTTTCTGGTTGTTCACTGGACTTCTCTGTGGCTGAAAAAACAGAAATTTGCTAATTAGTTAGATATGAGTTTATGTGCTATGTAAATGTGCATTTAATCGAATTATTTCTGGATTCAGTAAATGAGGCTTAATATCAATGTGCCAATGGGCTTCCTTTGAATACTGAATTTCCCTGAGACTTAAGATGTTTAATTGCAGAATAGGTGACCATTTAAAGAGATGCTATAGCTGACACGGAACCACTTGAACTTTACACAAACTTTAAATATGTTTTCAACCCTAACATTTTATTTGTATTTTAACTATAACTTAACAACAGTCTCATGAAGCAGAAACTTAGGAGACAAATCAGTGTATATGAGAGGTAACTTTTCTCTAAATGGTTATTTCAAATATAATTGCTTTATTAATGTTTTCAGCAAATGTTTATTGAGCTTCTACTATGTCCAGTATCATATAAAGTACTGGGCTTATCTCTCTAAATGTGACACATATTATCCCTGACTTTGTGGAACTTAGGATTTAATGAATAATATTGATTTTAAACACTTAATGATCACACTTGTGATCATTCAAGTGATAAAAATAGGGTCTATAAGTATATATTACAAGGGTACCTGATTTCATTCCTTGAGAACTGAAAATGGCTTTTCCTGAGTAAATGTTTAAGCTGGGTACTGAAATAGGAGTTATGAAGTGGCCAGGTAAACACAAAGCCAATTTAATTCATGTTAAAAGGACAAGACAACCAAAGACAGTAAGGAAGGAAGGGAGGGAGGGAAAGACGGAAGGAAGGAAGGAATTAGGGTAACCTGGGCCAGACGTGATACTAAAGGAAAGTAAGGCATCAAGCTTAACTCTCCCACGTATATTCCTTATGTCTCATTATCATCAGAATATATAGCATCATGAAAAGAGAACTATAGCATCATGAAAAGAGAAACCGCTTTGAAATCAGACAGATATATAGTTAAATGCTTTCTGTTCCTTTACTGACTTTGTTACCTTGGGAAACAGTTATCCTCTCTCTCCCTTATTAAGGTTAAAATAATAATAGATTGTTAGCAGTGTTGTTGCAAGGATGAGAGAGATCATTTGAATAGGGCTCTTTGACAGACCAAAAATTCTCAATAAGAGTTGACAAAATGGTGCTGATATTAATGTTGCATCATGAAAAGAGAAACTGCTTTGAAATCAGACAGATATATAGTTAAATGCTTTCTGTTTCTTTACTGACTTTGTTACCTTGGGAAACAGTTATCCTCTCTCACCCTTATTAAGGTTAAAATAATAATAGATTGTTAGCAGTGTTATTGCAAGGATGAGAGAGATCATTTGAATAGGGCTCTTTGACAGACCAAAAATTCTCAGTAAGAGTTCACAAAATGGTGCTGATATCAATGTTATCATCCAATGTTAAGATGGCATCGGCCGGGTGCAGCGGCTCATGCCTGTAATCCCAGCACTTTGGGAGGCCAAGGTGAGCGGATCACAAGGTCAGGAGTTCGAGGCCAGCCTGGCCAATATAGTGAAACCCCATATCTACTAAAAATACAAAACATTAGCTAGGCATGGTGGCAGGCACCTGTAATCCTAGTTATTCAGGAGGCTGAGGCAGGAGAATCACTTGAACCCAGGAGGCGGAGGTTGCAGCAAGCCAAGATCACATGACTGCACACCAACCCAGGCAAAAATGCGAGAATCCCCCTCAAAAAAAAAAAAAAAAAAAAAAAAGGATGGCATTGTATTTTTGAGCAGTTCAAGAAACTGAACAGGGAGATACAGCTTGCTGTTACTTTATTGGGGAATGTTCGATAATTATTTTTGCATATTTAAAATCCTTTCCCATATACTTCTTTACATAATATTTTTGTTGTCATGTTTTTCTGGACTCTTTCTTGTTACTGAAGTAATTACTCTTTCTAATCTAGACAGGCAACGTATTCCTGCTCCTTGATAGATGCATGGGCAGGAAAAATCCTGGTATTCCCAACCATGAGTGATTTTTTAAAATGTAATCATTTTATTCATCTTTTGTCCAGTGATTCATTTTGGAGAATGCAAGTCTGCTTTTCAAAATGCACATATGCGATGGGCCACTAGAGGACCTAAGACATTTCTGTAAACAAACAGATCTGCATACCAGTAATGACCTTAATTGACAGGCAAACATTTGTAATAATAGCTGGAGTAAATAAGTTTTTCAGGGAATGTTACAAATTTAGAAAAGGAGAAATGACATGTTATATGTTGTTTTCCATATTTAATATTTTCTATGGAAATAACTTTATAATTTAATTGGTAAAGTATAAAAAATAGTTAAAGCATGAATTGCTGATACTGTTTATCTTATGAGCCACGAAGAGATTTTTGAATTTCTCATTGTCACAGAGAAAGTTAAAATGAATAATACATTTCTTTTCAGCCTTCAATAGCTAGAAAATGAAACAAATTGTTTTTAAGAATATAACTAGTTATAAGACAAACAATCAGGTAATGAGAGAAGTCACACATTTGCCAACCTTTTGTGTTTGAGCTTCTGTTACTTGTTAAAAAAATCATTCTTATAAAATGAAAATGTGTGTGAACATGATACTGTGCAAATATATGCAAATGTTTAATTGTACATTTCTAATTTTGAGCCTCAAAATCTTAAATTTATCTCAAATGTACCTGGTTTTCAAATCTTCAAATTAAATATATGCTTTTATCATGTTGATTGTTTACAATTCAAAATGGCATTGTATTGACCATTGAATCTCTCTTAAGTATAGCACAGAAGCCTATTGGTAAAATTTGAATTCATTAAATTTACTGCAGCAAGGGAAAACATAACTTGATATAGTGTCTCTGAGGTAGGCTGAGAAATGATATTTACAGGTTTTTGTGTGTCTAGGCTCATGTGATTTAAGGAAGGTGTTTCAGAGAGAGGAACTGATATGGATTGGACAAAGTTTATTCGATAATTTGAAGAAAGTACCAAAACCAAATTGTTTTGAAAAGTGTATAAAATACGTGTTATCTAATAAGCAGACTGTTTGCCCATGTGAGCAGTCTATTGTTTCAATAAGAGAGGTGTCTGTACAGATGAGCAAACTGCTTGGACAAAGTGGTTTGCAGGAACTTCCTGAAGCAAACAGTAAATTTCTTTGGTTTAAATTCATGTTTTCTTTGTTAAGAATTTCCTGAAACAGTTTTGTTAACACAGGTGCTTTACTGAGTTATATTTATGCTGATTCTATCAATTCTCAGGATCCCCATTCCTACCCCCCAACTGTATGTCATTCTCCAGCCTAAACTGGAGGATGTACTTCTACTATCTGGGAATGTGATCAGATCAGATTTCCACCTTATTATTATTGTTATTTTCAAAGACAGACGGAGTCTCACTGTATTGCCTAAGCTTGTCTTGAACTCCTGGGCTCAAGCAACCCTCCTGACTTGGCCCGAGTAGCTGGGATTTATAGACATGAGCCACCATGACTGACTCAGATCTCATTCTTTATATGAGAGCATCTGTGTCAATGTGTTGAATTGTCTTGGCTGACAAAATATATGTTGTTATATTTACATCATATATTCCTGAGAATTACCAGTCTGTAGTGTTAGGTATCAGTGTTATGCATGCTTTATAGAAGGGCTTGGAAAGATCTTCTACCTTTTTAATGTCTCAAATAATTTACATAATATTTGGATTATTTAATCTGTAAATATTTGGCAGAATTTCTTTGAGGTCTTGTAGGTCTGATGATATTTGGCGGGGTAGTATCTTAATAATGACCATAATTTGATTTTTACTTTTTAGAATAGGTAATCTTTCAATAGGATCAACTTTTATAGTCTATTTTCTTAGGAAATTAACCATTACCTATAAATGTTCATATTTATTTGTACGGTCTGCATATTAGTCTTATGATTTTTGAGTCACTTATTTTTAATGTTTATTTCCCCTTCACATTTTTTGTTTTACTAGTGCTTTCTCTCTTTTATTCTTGAGCAAGTTAGCTAGCAACTTCTGAGCTTCGATTTATTGATTATATCTAGAGTTTTGGTGTGTTTTTTTGTTTGTTTGTTTTTTAAACAGAGTCTTCCTCTGTGACCCAGGCTGGAGTGCAGTGGCATGATCTCGGCTCACTGCAACTTCCGTCTACTGGTCTCAAGCAATTCTTCTGCCTCAGCCTCCTGAGGATTTGCAACTACAGGCATGCGCCACCACGCCCAGCTGATTTTTAGTATTTTTAGTAAAGATGGGGTTTCATCATATTGGCCAGGCTTGTCTCGAACTCCTAACCTCGTGATCCGCCCACCTCGGCCTCCCAAAGTGCAGGAATTACAGTTGTGAGCCACCGCGCCCAGGTGATTATATCCACAGTTTTTCTATTTTTTATTTTTTATTTTTTTTTTTATCATTAGTATCCCCTCCATTCTCATTTGATACAAAGACTTTTTTTTCTTTGTCTAGCTTTTGTGAGGGGATATATTAACTTTTATTTTCATTCTTTCTGTATTATTAATAAACTTTTTAGTAACAGGAATTTTCATCTACTTCTGATTTAGATGTACCATGTATTGTGATGTATAGTGTATTCCTTGTCATTAACTTACTTGATTGAGATAGGATCTCGCTCTGTCTCCCAGGCTGCAGTGCAGTGGCACAATTATAGCTCACTTCAGCCTCAAATTCTAGGGATCAACTGACCCTCCAGCCTCAGCCTCCCAAAACCCTGAAATTACAAGTGTGAACTACCACACCTGGAAAAATTTAAATTTTTTAAATTATCTATCCATCCTTGTCTTTTTATTTGTTTTGAACTTACATGTATATGGAAACATTTTAAGATACTCATCATTAAGACCTTTGCTGATGTTTTCTCAGGCATCATTTTGTTGAATGAGGGACATTCTCTGGTGTATTTCTCAAGAAGGGATAATGGATGCAGAGTTTCCTAAGTTTATGTTGAATTTTTTTTCCTTATAACCCTGTTATTTTAAATACTGAATGGCTTGATATAAAATCTTTCACCTTTGTTCACTGAATTAAAATAAGAAGAATGTTGCTCCATTGTTACCTTGCTTTGGATATTGGTTTTGAAAAGGCTGATGCTAGCTTAGTTCTTTTGCCTCTGAAAGTTGTAATATATTTGCCTTGGGGATTTTAACTTTGCTTTTCAAATCTGAGTATTTTGCTTAGCTCTTTCTCAGAGTAGACCATTCCCCCACATCTCCCGTCTCCGTATTCCCTATCCCCTCCACCCTGTGTCTTTCCACATAGTCAATGTGCCCTTCCAAATTTCAGACATTTTCTGAAAATATTTCTTATAGTTTTAAATATTAGATTTGCCTTTTTCACTTCTTTAAGGACTTTGAAAGTTTGACTATTGCTTTCTTTGCCAGTTTTCCATGTCTGTTGTTTCCCCCGACCTTTTTTACTTCCTCATGTTTCTTCCTCCTTCTGTTTCCTTGCCTTTGATTATTGCCACTTATTAATTTTTGAAGCTGTTCTATATCATGTAATTTTATTTGAGATAATCTTGAGTTCAATTAACTCTTTTCCATTTCTTCCTAATTTTTGTATGCTTGTTTTTAAGTTTTTGTAATTCTGATTCCTAGTTTTTCATACCATTACACACTTGTTTATATATATTTGCTTCTCCTTGGTGTGCCATAGTTTTCTTCTGGTTCATGGTTGTTATTCAGAGGAAGAAGTTTTTCTTTAGTTAATATATGTAAAATTATCTTCTTGTTTAGAGTAATCTATAATATCCCTAGTTTAATGGCACATACTTCTGTCAGTATATTAAAATCTTGGTTGTTTGGTAGGCTTAATTTGTTTCATGATGGTTGGGAGAATCATTAGTACTCCAATTTTATGGTTTGCTTTTGTCTTTTAGAACTGTAATATTCACATTTGCCTTTTTTTTTTTTTTTTGCCTTCACACCTGAAATTCTAATGGGTGCTTTTTACTTTTTCTCTTTTATTTTAAAGTATATTTTATTAATTAACACATAATAATTGTGTGTATATATATTAGGAGGTATAAAGTGATGTTTTGATACATACAATTTATAGTGATCAGATAAAAGTATTCACCTATCAATCCTCTCAAACATTTATCATTTCTTTGTTTTGGGAACATTCAATATCCTCATTCTACCTATTTGAAGCTGTATAACATATTAATCTCAACTCTAGTAATCTTACAGTGCTATAGAACGCTAGAACTTATTCTTCTATTTAGCTATAATCAAAATATGGTACTGGCATAAAAACAAACACATAGCCCCCCAGTGCAACAGAATAGAGAGTCTAGAAATTAATCTTCATGTCTACAAGCCAACTGATTTTTGACAAAGATTCCAAGAACGTACATTGGGGAAAGGACACTCTTCTCAGTAAGTAGTGCTGAGAAAACTGTACATTCATACACAGAAGAATCATACTAGACCCTCTCAGCATACAAAAAAAAAAAAAAAAAACTCAAATGGATTAAAGACTTAAACGTAAAACCCAAACCCATAAAACTACTAGAAGAAAACATATGGGAAATACTTCAGGACATTGGTCTGCAAAAAGATTTTATGAATAAGACCTCAAAAGCACAGGTAACAAAAGCAAAAATAAATAGATTATATTAAGCTAAAAAGCTTCAGCACAGCAAAGGAAACAATCAGAGTGGAAGAACAACCTACAGAATGGAAGAAAATATTTGTAAACTTGTCATCTGACTGGAGATAAATATACAAAATATACAAAAACGTAACCGTTGATAGCCAAAAAAACTAAACAATTCAATTTAAAAATGGGCAAATGGGCTGAGCATGGTGGCTTACGCCTAGAATCCCAGCACTTTGGGAGGCCGAAGTGGGCAGATCACTCGAGGTCAGGAGTTTAAGACCAGACTGGCCAACGTGGTGAAATCCTGTCTCTACTAAAAATACAAAAATTAGCTGGGCATGGTGGCACATGTCTGTAATCCCAGCTGTTGAGGATGCTGAGGCAGGAGAATTGCTTGAACCTGGGAGGCAGAGGTTACAGCGAACTAAGACCATGCATGGCACTCCAGCCTGGGCAACAAAGCAAGACTCTGTCTCAAAAAAATTAAAAAAAGAAAAAACGGGCAAATGATCTGAACACACATTTCTCAAAAGATGACACGCAAACGGCCAACTCATGTATTTAAAAATTATCAACGTCACTAATCATCAGGGAAATGAAAATCAAAGTCACAATGAGGTATCATCTCATTCCAGTTGGGGTGGCTATTATCAAAAAGACAAAAACAAATATACGTCGGTTGTTTATATACCCGTGGGTTGTTTGTACACTGCTGGTGAGAATGTAAACTAATACAGCCACTATAGAGAATAGAGGTTCCTCAAATCTCAGTTTTGAAATATGTTTTCAAAAGATAATAGATTTTAATCTGACAGCTTTTAACTTTCAGTACTTCAAAAAAGTTTGTAGATGTCTTTTGCATTATTAAAGGAAGAGACATCTGCTATCATTCTGATCTTTTTTCCCCTCTATTTAACAGGTTTTCACCACATTAAATTTTCTCTTTACTATAGTTTTTAGCAATTTGATTATGATATGACTTGGTATAGTTTTCTTCGTGTTTATTCTGCATTGGTTTCATTGTACTTCTTGGATATAAGAGTTTATATTAGTAAAATTTGGAAATTTTAGTCATTATTTCTTTAAATACTTTCTCCAGTCTCCAGCCCCATTCCACTCGGGGACTCCTATTATATATATATATAAGGTCATTGGAAGTTTTACACAGATCACTGATACTCTATTTTTAAGTCTTTTTCTCCCTATTGAAGTTTATTAAACTTGTTTTCTGCATTGTCTAATGTGGCATTAATCCCAACCAGGTTATTTTTTTATCTTAGTCATTGTAGTTTCTATGTCTAAATCTATGTCTCCTTTGTTTATCTATTTTTCAAATTTTTGCTTAATATTTTGACTTTCCTACAGCATCTTAGACAATACCAGTTTTACTTTCCTTTTTTTAAGTATCTATCCCTTGTGGGTCCTATTTTCCTGATGTTGTATTTTACTTTGTTATTTGCTTGATAGTTTTGTATTTTTTATTTTAATTTTGTGCTTAATTCTGGTAGACAGTTAAGTTACTTGGAAACAGTTACATTCTTTGTCATATTTCTTTTAACCATTATTTGGTAGAACTAGAGGAGTGTCTGGTCTAGAGATAAGTGTGTGCCACTACTTTGCCAAAATCTCTTTAAATACTTTGTTCAACATTACGTGGTTTATGAAGGTTTGGGCCATTTTGGGTGAGAATAGCATTTTTTCCTTTTCCCTTAGGACTTCAGGGGATTTCTTTCCTCTAATTCTTCTGGATGTTTCTTTCTCTTTCTCCAGCGTTATATAGCTTTATTATCTACTTCACTAATTAGTACTCAGCTGTAGACTCAATGGTGACCCTCTTCACATCTGTGGAGCCCTCTCCCTTTGGAGCTCTGACACATTGTTTATACATTAATGAACTGATTTTTAGGTTTTTTTCCCCTAAACTGTTTTCTCCATTATCTATTGCAAAAGGTCATTCTGGTTTCTACATTTACAAACATTATTATTTCACTTTTCTCGACTTAAAGTGAAATTTAATTCAACTCAGCATATAAAAAGTATTTCTTCTATGAAGAAAACATTATGAGAATATGTCCTTGCTGTCGCATACTAAAATGTTATGTATGATCTAAGACCCAAAACTAGTAAAGCCTCAATTAATCACTTCCATTCTACTGCAATCCATACATTCTATTTTCTGAATTTCAGTAGTAGCCAGCAACCATCAAAAGGTAATAAACTAACTTCTTTGCTCAGGTTTAAAAAAAATGTGGATTTGGCTCTCTGACTATATTTCTTCTTATCAGCAACTTCTCTGTAGTAAGTATTGTACAGAGCTTAGAAAGCTAAAATTTATATTTATTAGACAGCCTTTGAAGCTAGCATTCAAATTAGCTATTCTGATTTCAGAATTGAGTTAATACAGAGAAGATGAAAAAATTGAGTAATATATTTGATAATATGATCCTTAGTAGATATAGGAAGACCTTGATAATTTTCCATTTTAATAGTTCTTACTTTTGTATCATAACAAGACAGTACACTTGGATGTTTTATCTGTTTAATTTTTTGAGAATGATAGTTCAATTTAGTTTGTGTAGTCTTCCCGATGAGTATATAAACCGTTAACAGATATTTCACAAAATTAAGAATCACTTCTAAGAGCAAATATTTTTAAACTATTTAACTCTGCAATTGAACACACTGACACTTTTCCCTACAACACTAGTCATGTACTGTAATTCTGTAATAAAAAAACTATTATTTTACTTCAGCAATGTCTCTGGTAACACCAGTTATGTCAACTTGAGAAAATATCTTAAATTATCCAATTTTCTGTATATTCTCCCCATCCCCTTTTTTTGAGATGGAGTCTTGCTTTGGAGTGCAGTGGAGCAATCTTGGCCTACTGGAGCCTCCACGTCCTTGGTTCAAGTGATTCTCATGTCTCAGCCTCCCAAGTAGCTGGGACTACAGGCACGCACCACCACACCCAGCTAACTTTCTGTATTTTTAGTAGAGATGAGGTTTCACCACATTGGCCAGGCTGGTTTTGAATTCCTTCCCTCAAGTGATCTGCCCGCCTCGGCCTCCCAAACTGCTGCTGGGCTTATAGGCATGAGCCACCGCACCAAGCCCATTTCGCCTCATATGAAAATATATTTCTTTTATCAACCTTACTTGCTTATATATGCTAGCATGCTGAAACAGTACTGCAGTACTGGGTACCTGGAAGTCACACAAAAATTACTTGCTACAAACATTAAATAAATGTTTAATTTAAACATGTTTACATTTAATTTTAAATGTTTACTTTCTAAGCAGTAGCAGAAGGTGACAGAGGGCCTGGTGTTTTCTTACTCCAACCTAGAACAACAACAACAAAAAGGCAGCCAAGGTAGCTTCATTCTTCCCCAGATAAAAGAATGTTGTAACAATACCAGTCCAGAATCTTCATACTATATCTAAACAGGGTTATTGTCTGCTAAATAGTTTAATAGAACCCAGAGACCTCTTATGTTATAGAAGAAATGTCCAGGATACAATTTTTAAAAATTATAGTAAGAACCAGGAATCACAACTTGAATAAGAAAATCAACTGACACCAACACTAAGATGAAACCAAATGATGGGATTATCTGACCAGGATTTTAAGGTAGCCATCATAAAATGCTTCAGTTTCAAATTATCTCCAAACAAAATTGAAATTTCAACAAAGAAATAGAAATTATTAACAAGAACCAAATAACATAGAATTAAAAAAACATAAATTTTAAAATGTGCTCAGTGGGCTCAAATTACAGTGGCAATAATTAACATGAGGATAGATCAATAGAATTTTCAAAATCTAAACAACACTGAAAAAGAGACTAAAAATAAAAAAACAAAGCCTCAGGAAACTATGGAACTGCAAGAAAGATTAATTATGTACAGCATCAAAATCCTAGGAGAGAAGAAAGTATCCAAATAAGTAATAGATGAAAACTTTTCAAATTTGGCAGAAGACAAACCTACAGATTCAAGAAGCTGAGCAAACCACAAATGGAAACAAAAAACAAGACACATCAAAATTTGCTTTGAAAAGCAAAGACAAAAAAGTCTTGAAATGTCCCTGAGAGAAATGACACATTATCTACAGGAGAACATCAAATTGAATGACAGATTTCCCACCTTAAATCATGGAGGCCAGAACAAAGAGGTACAGAATTTTTTGTGTGCTGAAATAACTTTCAACATAGAATTCTTTAACCAGAAAACTCGTCTTTAAGAAATGAAAAAGAAATAAGGATGCAGAAAAAGAAAAATTAATACAATTTGTCTGTGAAAAATCTATCTTTAAGATTGGGTAAAGGAATAAACTCAGCATAAAGAAAATAATTTTTTAAGGTAAACTTAGACTTCCATTTCATGGTCTCACATGTAAGGAGCTTAGAAGTGCCTACTCCATCTTCAAAATAAGAGGAAATCTTATCAAACTGAAAAAAACATCAACTCTTTTTAGATCTGTCAAAGAAGTGATATCATGGGGCAAACCACTGTGCCAAAAATTGGAGAGAGAGACAGGCAGGTACAGAGAATCACAACTTCATGGAGCAGAAATGTATGATCAAAAACTTCCATGGGAACCAGTGCTGGGGTAAGAAAGCCTGAACTATAATAGATAAATTCTGGATGCTCAGTACTCAGTATTGACACGCTGAGAGTTAAATACTCCAAGGGGACCCAGTCATGGAGGATGGGAGGTGTTGTACTTTTGTGAGTTTTACCTTCAGGGGTTCTACCAGGTCCTCACAGTGAGTATCACAAAAAAAAAATAGGTAAATAAAAATAACGACAACAACAATAACAAAAAAACACCCTCATGACCCCAGGATGTGGAGGGAAAAATGAATAATTTTGAAATATACCAGAGCATTCTGTTCTTCTTAACAAGGCCTTACCTTAGGAGAAACTATTTAACCAGAGCCTGATCCACCTGGAGGAAAAGAAATATCCTAATCCAGCTGGCTCTAGCATTTCATGTGGAAGAAATAAAGTATTCAACCCCAGCTAGTCCTCTCCAGCCATCCTGTCTAGCCTAAGCGGTGATGGAGGAGGGGCAAAAATAACTGAAAAGTGCTGATGACTTCACAGTCCAGGAGCACAGACACATCAAAAGACAGAGATCTAATCATAGGGCTATAGAACATTTCCCCTTCCCCTAAACCTTAACACTCCATTACTAAAGGCCTATATACCGTACCACCTTTGTTCTAGTACACTCTGACTCCCTGTCCTCCTCCCCAACAAACACCAAAACTACAGGACATATTAAAAGGCAGAAAAATATAGTCTGAAGAGACTGAACAAGAATCAGAACCACAGTCAAATATGGCAGGCCAAGTACAGTGGCTCATGCCTGTAATCCCAGCACTGAGACATGTCTTGATCACTTGAGGTTGAGAGTTCGAGACCAACCTGGTCAACATGGAGAAACCCCATCTCTATTAAAAAAAAAAAAAAAAAAATACAAAAATTAGCCAGGCATGATGGCAGTTGCCTGTAATCCCAGCTACCTGGGATACTGAGACATGAGAACCACTTGAACCCAGGAAACGGAGGTTGCACTGAGCCTAGATCATGCCACTGCACTCCATCCTGGGTGATGGAGTGAGACTCTGTCTTAAAAAAAAAAAAAAAAAAAAAAAAAAAGATAGAAATATTGGAATCATCAGATTAAGTTTTTTAAAAAACTTAAATATTCTAACTTCTTTAATAGCCAAAGTAGACAACATATAGAATAACTGGATAATATAACTAAAGAGGTGCAAATTCCAAGAATAATCTAATATTAAAAAAAGCCTCTGTTGGGTTTATTATGACTATGCATGGCTGAAGAAAGAATGACTCAGCTTGAAAATATGACATTAGGAACTTCAAAAAAGAAAAAAAAAGACTGCAAAAAAAAATTAGTCAATAACAGTGGGACAACTACAAAAGGTATAAATGTGCAAAATTAGAATACCAGGAGGAGAAGAAAGAGACAGTAAGAAAAAAAATATTTGACGAATAATGACTAAAAATTTCACCAAATTAATGCCCTAAACCTCATAAGACCCAGGAAGCTCAGAGAACACCAAGCAAGATAAATGCCAAAAATAAACTACACTCAGGCATGTATGTCATATTCAAACTTGAGAAAAATCAAAGACAAAGAAAAAAATATATTGAAAGAAGCCAGAGGAAAACAATACCTTACCTACAGAGGAGTGAAAATAAGAATTCCATCTGACTTTTCAGAAAGCATGGCAACAAGAAGACAAGTATGGAGTGAAATATTTATAGTGTTGAGAGAGAAGAAAAAAAAAAAAAAAAACAAAGAAAAAGCCTGCCACACCTGTAATCCCAGCACTTTGTGAGGCTGAGGCAGGCGATCACTTGGGCCCAGGAGTTTGAGAACAGCCTGGGCAACATGGCGAAACCACATCTCCACTAACAGTACAAAAATTAGCTGGCATTGTGGCACATGCCTGTAGTCCCAGCTACTCAGAAGGCCAAGGTGGGAAGATCACTTGAGCCTGGGAGGCAGATGTTGCAGTAATGCAATAAGCCAAGATCATGCAACTTCACTCCACCTGGGCCACAGAGCAAGCTGTCATCTCAAATAATAATAATAATACACCAAAAAAACTCACTTTATTAGTTCATACTACCTGAGACTGGGTAACTTATAAAAAAAGAGGTTTGACTCACAGTTCCATATGTCTGCAGAGGCCTCAGGAAATTTACAATCATGGAGTAAGGAGAATGGGAAGTAAGGCAGTCTTACATGGTGGCAGAACAAAGATCGAGCACTCAGGGGAAAACTGCCACTAGTAAAACCATCAGATCTCATAAGAGCTCCCTCACTATCATGAGAACAGCACGGGGGAAACTGCCCCCGTGATCCAATCACCTCCCACCATGACCATGTCCCGCCCTCAACACATGGGGATTACAATTTGAGATGAGATTTGGGTGGGGACACAGAGCCAAACCATTACCGTTCCACCTTTGCCCCTCCAAAATCACATCTCCTCTTCACATTTCAAAACCAACCATGTCTTCTCAACAGTTCTCCAAAGTCTTAACTCATTCTAGCATCAGCCCAAAAGTCCAAGTCCAAAGTCTCGTCTAAGACAAGTCCCTTATGCCTATGGACCTGTAAAACCAAAAGCAAGTTAGTTACTTCCAAGATACAATGGGGGTACAGACACTGGGTAAACATTCCCATTCTAAATAGGAGAAATTGGCCAAAACAAAGGGGCCCCAGGTCCCATGCAAGTCTGAAACCCAGCCGGGCAGTCATTACATCTTGAAGCTCTGAAATCTCCTTTGACTCCATGTCTGCCATCCAGGGCTCCCACTGCCTTGGGAAGCTCTGCCCCTATGGCTCTTCAGGGTACATCACCCCTGGTGGCTTTCATGGGCTGGCATTGAGTTTCTGTGGCTTTTCCAGGTATATGGTGCAAGCCGTGTCAATGGATCTGTCTTTCTGCAGTCTGGAGGACAGTGGCCATCTTCTCACAGCTCCAATAGGCAGTGCCCTAGTGGGAACTATGTTGGAGGACTCCAACCCCACATGTCCCTTCTGCACTGCCCTAGCAGAGGTTCTTCAACCCATTTCTTCTGCCCACCCAGAGGCCCACCACCACATAGAAGCCACCAATGCTTGGGGCTTACACCCTCTGAAGCAATGGCCCAAGCTATACCTTGGCCCTTTTTAGCCATGGCTGGAATTAGAGCGGCTGGGATGCAGGGTGCCATATCCCAGGGCTGCACAGAGCAGCAAGGCCCTCAGCCCAGCTCATGAAGCCATTTTTTCCTCCTTGGTCTCCAGGCCAGTGAACAGAGGGGTTGCCACAAAGATCTCCGACATTCCCTGAAGACATTTTCCTCATTGTCTCGGTGATTAATATTTGGCTCCTTGTTACTTATGCAAATTTCTGCAGCAGCCTTGAATTCCTCCCCAAAAAATGGGTTTTTCCTTTTACATGGACAGGCTGTAAATGTTCCAAATTTTTACACTCTCCTTCCCCTTTAAACATACATTCCAATTTCATATCATCTCTTTATGACTGCATAAAACTGCGTGCTTTTAGTACAAATGAGGTCACCTCTTGAATGCTTTGCTGCTTAGAAATTTCTTCTACCAGATACCCTAAATCATCTCTCTCAAGTTCAAAGCTCCATAGATCTCTAGAGCAGAGGCAAAATGCCACCGGTCTCCTTGCCAAAGTATAGCAAGAGTGAACTTGCTCAAGTTTCCAATAAGTTCCTCATCTCCATCTGAGACTACCTCAGTCTGGACTTCATTTTCCATATCACTATCAGCATGTTGGTCAAAACCTTTCATTCAACAAGGCTTTAGGAAGTTCTAAACTTCTGCACATCTTCCTGTCTTCTTCTGAGCCTTCCAAACTATTCAAACCTCTACCTGTTACCCAGTTCCAAAGTTGATTCCACATTTTCAGGTTATTTTTATAGTAGTACCCAACTCTGCCAGTAGTAATTCTCTGTGTTACTCAGTTCTCACACTGGGTAATTTATAAACAAAAGAGATTTGATTGACTCACAGTTCTGCATGGCTGGCGAGGCCTCAGGAAACTTACAATTATGGAGGAAGGAAACAGGAAGCAAGGCAATTTTACATGGCAGCAGGAGAGAGAGAGTGCCCACAGAGAAAACCTGCCAGTCTTAAAACCCTCAGATCTCCTAAGAGCTCCTTCATTATCATGAGAATACTATGGGGGAAACCACACCCGTGATCCAATTACCACCCACTAGGTCCCTCCCTCAACACATGGGGATTACAATTTGAGAGGAGATTTGGATGGGGACACAGAGCAAAACCCTATCAACCACCAATCATGAGTTCTGTACCCTGCAAAATTATCCTTCGAAAGTGAGAGAAATAAAAACTTTCTCAAACAAAAATTGAGAATCTCTTGCTAGTTGACCTATTTTTCAGGAAATGTTAAAAGTTCTTCAGAGAGGCCAGGCGCAGTGGCTCACGCCTGTAATCCCAGCACTTTGGGAGGCCAAGGCAGGTAGATTACGAGGTCAGGAGTTCGAGACCAGCCTGGCCAAAATAGTGAAACCCCGTGTCCACTAAAAATACAAAAATTAGCTGGGCATGGTGTCTCATGCCTGTAGTCCTAGCTACTCAGGAGGCTGAGGCAGGAGAATCACTTCAACCTGGGAGGCAGAGGTTGTGGTGGGCCAAGATCGCGCCACTGCACTCCAGCCTGGGCAACAGAGAGACACTCTGTCTCAAAAAAGTTCTTCATAGAGAAAGAATTTTATAAAGGTCAGAAATTCAGATCAACATAAAGAAAAGAAGAGCACTGGAGAAAAGAAAAGGTAAGGAAATGTTTTTCTTACTGCTAATTGATCTAGCAGATAATAGTTGTTTCAAGATAATAATTATAGCAATAATGTTTTCAATTATGGAAAATTGTTTCTTTGGTGGTGACATTTTTCCTTGATTTTTTGTGTGTTTGAAGAAGCAGTCATCCATCTCCTCCAGTCATCGCTTGCTGGCTTCAGAAAAGAAAGGCATTCACCAGTAGGCCTGCCTGTGGGTTCTAAGAGTATCTCAGATTTTTCTTTTTTTAGGAATGTACCTGCTCCACTCCTCCTGTTTTCTCTTGGGAAAGTGGGGTGGGGTAAAGACTGTTAGGATTGTATGCTTTTTCCCTCAAGGTCAGGCTGAGTGCTAAGAGCCTCCCATTAATTTTCCCTAGTGCAGTGTCCTGAAGCACTCAATGTTAAGCTGCTTCTCCCAATCCAGCAGAGTCTACCTGTCTGTGTGTGTGCTAATACATGACCTGTGGAGGCTTGTGTGAACTGCTTGTACAGAGCATACCCAGGGTGGTAGCTACATGGGAATAGGATGGGAGGAGTTCTATAGGTGTTCATGGGCTAGATGCAAGAGTCCTCAGGGGATGTGTACTACAAAGTTAATGGGTGGGTCTCATTAGGTGCATACATTATAATTGTATGCATAGTGTACACATATATGATAGTTGTATGCATAATATATGCATATATTATGATATTCTATAAATAAAATTCAAAGAAATTTAGATTTAAAAAGCTGATGAGTTTAACAATGCAAAGACTCATCAACCCACAAAAATCAATGTTGTTTATAATTTTACATAGGAACAATGAATATGCAGAAGTCCAAACTAAAAACACAATACAATTTATAATCACTCCAAAGGAAATGGAATGCTTGACAAAGTATATGTTATGTATTTAATAAAATATTTGCAAGACCTGTATACTAAATTTTATAAAATTCCGATGAAGCAACTCAGACACTAAAATGAATGGATACATTTTGTTCATTGATTGAAAGACTCATATAATAAAGATGTGAATTGCCCCCAAAGAATTCTACAAGCCTAATTCAATTTCTATTAAAATTCTAGCATATTTGTGGACATAGACAGTCTTCTAAAATTTATCAAGAATGGCACAGAGCCTAGAATTTAAGGGGTAAAAAAAGAGAAAATATTGACACGGAAGATGGTAAGATTTTTCTCTACCTATTTTTCAGACTTACTAAATACCTAAGTAAGCATAATCAAGAAAGTGTGGTTTGGGCAGGATAGACACATAGGTGAAAAGAATAGAAAACTCAAATAGACACACATGAACACATTCAAGTGACTTTTTATATCAATGTGCAAAAGCAATTTGAAACAAAGTTAGTCTTTTCAAATGGTAGTAGAGCAATTGGACATGCATACGCAAAAAAAAATTTTGAAAATTTCCTCAATAGAAATTTCATGCTTTATTAAAAAATTAACTCTTAGATCAAATGTGAAACAAAAATGTAGGAGGAATTGTTTTGGATTAGAAATAAATAAAATTCTAAGAACTGATACCAAAAACAGTTCATAAGAGAAATAATTGATGAACTGTACTTCTTAGACACAAACACCTTTCTATACATAAGACCAGGTAAAGAGGATGGAAAGACAAGCTACATTTAGAAATGAAGGACAGAAAAGTGGTATACAGGGGTTAAAGATGAGTGAAGGAGAGAAAGGGAAAAGAATTGGGAGAGTCAGGTGTGGTTATAAAAGGACAAAAAGAAGGATCAGTGTGATGATGAAACTGTTCTATATCTTGAATATGATAATGTATATATGAATCTATACAAGTGACATGTTGTGGGAAGTCAGGGAACCCGAATGGAGGGGCCAGCTGAAGCCACAACAGAAGAACATAAATTGTGAAGATTTCATGGACATTTATCACTTCCCCAATCAATACTCTGATAATTTCCTATGCCCATCTTTAATCTCTTAATCCCGTCATCTTCGTAAGCTGAGGATGTACATCTCCTCAGGGCCCTGTGATGATAGTGTTAACTGCACAAATTGTTCATAAAGCACGTGTTTTTTAACAATATGAAATCTGGGCACCTTGAAAAAAAAACAGGATAACAGCGATGTTCAGGGAACAAGGGAGATAACCATTAGTTCTGACTGCCTGGGAGCCAGGCAGGACAGAGTAGTATTTCTCTTATTACCAAAAATGGGTAAGAGAAATATCGCTGAATTCTTTCCCCAGTAAGGAATATTAATAATTAACAGCCCTGGGAAAAGAATGCACTCCCGGGGTGGGGTGAGCGGGGGGCTCTAAAATGGCCGCTCTGGGAGTGTCTGCTTTATGCAGAAGAAACATGCCCTGGTCTCCTGCAGCGCCCTCAGGCTTGCTAGGATTAGGAAATTCCAACCTGGCAAATTCTAGTCAGACCAGTTCTCTGCTCTTGAACCCTATTTCCTGTTAAGATGTTTATCAATGACAGCGCTTGCACAGTGGTACATGAAACTTCATCAGCAATTCTAGTTTCACCCTGGCCTTGTGACCTTGCCCTGCCCATTTGCCTTGTGATATTTTATTGCCTTTGAAGCAGGTGATCTCTGTGAACCACACCCTATTCGTACACTCCCTCCTCTTTGAAAATCGCTCATAAAAACTTGCTGGTTTTGCGGCTCAGGGGGCATCATGGAACCTGCTGACATGTGATGTCTACCCCAGACACCCAGCTTTTTTTTTTTAGTAGAGACGGAGTTTCACTTTGTTAGCCAGGATGGTCTTGATCTCCTGACCTTGTGATCCGCCTGCCTCGGCCTCCCAAAGTGCTGGGATTACAGGCATGAGCCACCGTGCCTGGCCAGACACCCAGCTTTAAAATTTCTCTCTTGTGTACTCTTTCCCTTTATTTCTCAGACCGGCCGACACTTAGGGAAAAATAGAAAAGAACCTACATTGAAATATTTGGGGCTGGTTCCACCGATAGTGACACAATTGTGTAGAATTAAACACACGCTAATACTGTACACATGAGCACAAGTAAAACAGGGATATTGAAACCTTAATGTTGGTTTGTATTACTATCAACATCCTAATTGTGATATTGAATCATAGTTTTTACAATTATTACTATTGGTGAAAACTGGGTAAGGTTTTTCAAGATCTGTTGGTATTATTTCTTACAATTCATGTGACTCTACAATTATCACAATAAAATTTTAATTAAAAAATAAGTGCATGGATATAAATACAAAAATTACATGTCCAAACAAAATGCAATTATGTGAACAATCTTACTATGAAACTCATAGAAGTACCTAGTAAAATATAACATACTAACACCATAATTTTGGTTCAAGAAAAGGGACAAAAATTGATGAGGAAGGATAAAATTATCATGTTACACTGGAGTAATGGGCAAATTTACAAATTTCTCTACTATACAGGATTGGTAGCAGCCACAAAAGTCAAAGAAGTAAAAGAATCAATAATGAAAGATGGAGAGAAAAGTGGAACATAAAGCTAAGAACCACAAATATATTTGCCATCATTGAAAGGATGTACTAAAATAAATCATTCCTAAACAAACAAAGGCAAATGAGGAACTCAGATGATGTACCTTTCTTTTAAATGGTAAGATGCAGCTTCTCAGATTTGTTAACCACAGGTCTTCCCTCACATTCATTTGAAGTTATATATATACCACTTAAATGATTCAGAAACCACAAGCTACTGCCACCCCCAGTTAACCTGAAGCCATTCTGGCTTGGTAGAACTCTGGTATAAATAAAAAGCCCATGCCTAAGCATTATAAAGGCAGACTATAAAAAATGTAAAGAGGGTCTGGTGAGGTGGCTCATGCCTATAATCCCAGCATTTTTGGAGACCAAGACAGGAGGATTATTTGAAACCAGGAGTTCAAGACCAGCCTAGGCAACATGGGGAGATCCCCATCTCTATGAAAAATTACACAAATTAGCTAGGCTTGGTGTCACACACCTGTAGTCCCAGCTCCTCTGGAGGCTAAGGCTGGAGGATCGCTTGAGCCCAGGAGTTCGAAGCTGCAGTGAGTCATAATCGCTCCACTGCACTCCAGCCTGGGTGACAGAATGAGATCCCATCTCAAAAAACAAAAACAGAAGATATTAAATGTAAAAAAGAAAAGACTGCTTACAAAGAAACTACTACAACTGAAAGTAAACTTTACAACAGTACCAAGGAAAGCCAGAAGACAATGGAACAATATCATCAAAGTACTGAAAAGCAAGGAAGATTTTAAAAATTGTACAGTCCAGTACACTTTCCAGGCATATCATTTGAACAAATTTCACTATATTGATGTTAAAAAGTTTTCTTCAAATACAAATGGTACTTTGTACACTAAGAGGTAGATCTTTTCCAAATATACACGGAGAGCATTAATGGCAAGTCTTAAAAAATACTCACATAAACCACTAAGAAAAAAGAGGCCACAAAAGTGATTTGACAATATTTAGTAAAAAAGATGTTAATACCCTGAAACTTGTAATTGCCTTCTCAGTTGTAATACCATAAATTTTAGACATGTATGTGTATATCATGCTACCATTTATAAAAACTTTCAAAATATGTGATGCCATACTGTATATCTTCTGAGACACAAAACTATAAACTATTTTTTAAAAAGACACCTGATGATAGAAACTACCTTCAGGTATACCATTGCCTGTAGGCAGGAGAGGGGAAAACGCTGCACAGAGAAAACATTTCTACTTATTAGTAATGTTTTTTCCTCTATGTTTGCCATTGGTACTATATTCCTGAAATGTATGTATATGTACTTGTGTGTGTATATATATATATGTGTGTGTGTGTGTGTGTGTGTTTTAAATATTTCATACATTTAAAATTTTCAATTTTCCCAACTACAGTTGGCTTGCTTCTATTTAAAGAAATCAGTGATAACAAGCTGCTGTTTACCTTCTCTAAATATAAATGAGGAATCAGGTTATTATATATATAAATTAAATATAAATATATAAACACATTAAAATTTGCAATACTTATATTTTATAAACATAGCTATTCAACTCACAAAATTACAAATTACTTGAAAAATGATGTGATTAAGTTTGTACATGATTCATTTACCTGGTGAATACTTTCATGTTATGACTTTTACTTTCTACAATACTTGAAACTTCAGGGAATTAATACTCATAATAAACAGTCCTTCTCACATTTGTAAATAATTTATATAAATTCTTACATTCCTTAAAATGTATTTTACTTACTTTGAGGTATCAATGATATCTTGGTGGGTATAGAGTTTTTACCCTTTCTCTCATTGGCATGCATATAGCTTTCTAGTGATTTTGGTATTCAAGATTTCAGGTGAGAAGTGAGATGTTTATAAGATCACTTTTTTAAGCAGCTTTTCCTTCTATTTGGACCCTTATAATAGTTTGTATTAGCTTTGGAGTCCAATAATTTCACCAGAATATTCTAGGTCTGTCTTTCAAGCCCTTTTAATCCACACACTTCAAGGGAACATTTTTCTATTCTTAACGGTTTTAACATAACACAAATTATATGAATATATTCAAAGAGGACATAATGCTTAAAGTATATAATCTGTAGGAATGTTCCTGATAAGTACAAATATTAATTAGTATTAATATTTTATCATCATAACAAGTATCAACATTCTTTTCTAAGTGTTCTTCTTCAAACCGTATTATAGATCATTGCTGATATCTAATAATGGATTTTTCAAAGGGAATCCTTAAGTAGTTTAAAATGGGGAATATATTGTAAATGATGGAAAATTGATATTACAAAATAATTTTGAGTGTAGGTGACATCTTACAGGCTGTGATTAGTCTTGCCTCTTCCATAGCCCAATTTTGTCACTAAATGTATGTTGGTTCTACTTTTCCTTTTCCCTCATACCTGTGTACCCAGTTCATATCCCATCAAAAGGCTATTTCCACTATCCAGTTTTTAATCCTCATTTTAGAGAAGAAGCCACATATTTAATACACTATAATGTGAATTATTTTTTCCTGAAGCTCTCCATGTAGCTGAGACATGGTATTAACCATTTTTAAGTCTTCTTGAGAAGAAATATAGTACTTATTATCTGGATGTAATTATAGAAAAAGCTTGAAGAAGCAAATATTAATACTAAATAAAGAATTCAAATGATTGGTTTATGTCATTCATAGTCAATTGTTCAGAAAGACTTGGAAAGCAATACTTACGTCATTCATATATCTACTGCAGGTCCTAGAGGTAAAAGTAAAGACAGGAAAACTAAATGAATGGGCTTTGGGTAATTTGAGGTGTGATCTGGTCTGGATGTCAAGAAAATACATGTCTGTCTTTTAACAAAATGTCTATATTTGAGTCATTCAAGGAAATAGATTCATTTAGTTGTCTATCTTCATGGTAAAAATAAAATTGACACAAGTGAATGCAGCAGAGGAAATATGAGCATTCATATTTATATAAATGTACATATAAATTTATTTCTGATCTGGGAAAGGTAAGAGGAGAGTTCACATATACAATATTGATGCTTCTGAATTCCAGCTTCAGTCAAAGGATTATTGGCCCCTACTGAATGTGCTACACTATATTATATATTAAAGCAAGATTTAACATACTTATGTGAATATTATAAGTTGTTATTAATGTCAGAAAAAATGGCAAATAAACACAGAAAACATATTAAACTAATATTTTAAAGCTCAAGCCAGTTGAGAAAGCTCAGGTAATCAAAGTGCCAGTCATGTTCTAATAAAAGACCTCTCCATGACATACATAATTGCTTAGTGTAACATCAATATTTTCGATTCCCTGAGAACTTGGAATAATAGCTCAGTATTATTTTGAGAATTTCCATTTAAAAATCCCTGGACATAGGTCAGGCTGAGCCACATATTTGAGAACAAAAACTATAGACTGCTTGGGCCAAAACAACTTTAACTAACTTGACCAAATGCATTTAATAAGTTCTTTTTTTTCTGCCTTGTCAGTGGTGAAGCAAGTAGTCCCCAGTGAGTTTAGGGAGATCAGCTGTGGAATGAGATTTAATTTGAGAACAATTTATCCTACTTTAAGGGCAATGATTAAATCGATGCAAAGTTTACCCAAGAAAAACTGTATCTTGAGGATTTACTATGGACAAATCAGTTGACCAAACACCGCAAGTGACACAAATATGGCTTTGTATGTGTCATAATTTCTAAATTCTAGGGTCTCAAACTAGTCAATGTTGTAGACAGTGTTTCAAGGCATACTGTCTTGATCTAATAAATAGCAACAAATATAGAAAAAACAATGGCCTAGAAGTGATTCTTAAAGAAGTTGCATGGATAGATCTGACAGGATAGTAGAACACTGATGGACAAATATTTTAGGGCAAGCTTAGAGAGAAAGTTATGGCTACAAAAGACAACACTTTCTCAGGTGGTGATTTTGGGAGTTTCAAGATGAAGGAGCAATAGAAAAAAGCTGCAGAGGTACAAGAAATAGCTAAACTGCAAAATACTCTGTATATCTGACAGATGAATTTGAAGATCTTGAATCATTAAGGCTTTATTTTCATAATATATTTGGAGCAACACCAAGGATAAATGATTGGAAAGAAATGACATATGGAAGTATGAAGAGAGGAAGAAATTATCATCACTATCCCAATTAAGGAGGAAGAATAATGAATAGAGAGAGGTAACTTTTAAAATTAGACAGTTAACAAGTGGCAATTGGGATGTAAACCTGGGTCACTGTAAATAAAAACTCATGTTTTTTCTACCATATCCAGCTATTTTGAGGGAACTTGGTCACACAGCTTTTGTAAAACCTACCACTACATCTTTTTTTTTTTTTCAGTTTTCATAACTGAATCCACATCACAAGGTGCTACTTTTTAAAAAGAGTCAAATACAATATGCATCCAGATGCCTATAACACACACACACACACACACACACACACACACACACACACACACACACACACACACACCCCATTGGAAGGAATTTGTCCTAAGACAAACTTTTGTTGGGGCTCAGGGCATACTACCCCAAAATATGACTGTAGGAGACCAGAATAGGCCACCCCAAAATATTTCTCTTTGACATATTATTTCAAGCTGATTAAGAAACTGCAGACACAGAGGTGGCTCTGAAAAGCTTCCATTTTGTAAATAAAACGTCCATCAATAAAGGAAAGGTTTTTCCTAGTGAAAATATCTACAAGAGAGTTGCTTAGAGATAACATTTGTCACTTGAGAGATTTTATCTTCATAGCAAAGCAACAAATTACTTCAATACATTTGCTCCTCTAATACTCTCATAATTTGTCTCCACCATCCCCCCAGAAACCCCAAGCCCCTCTTCCTTTCTGTAGCTCAAGATGCTATGTAAGCTCTAATCATCTGTCCCTTCTTGAGTCTCATATATCTGTGGGACTCCTGTGCATATGTACACAACTTAAATGGTTTTTCTACTGTTAATCTGTTTTCTGTCAATTCATAGCCCAAAGGACCTAGAAGAGTAAAAGCCATTTTTTCCTTCTCTACACTTTCAACTTATTATATTTACACTACATTATTTTTTAAAATTGCAGTAATGTAACCTCATCATTCACATTCTAAAAAGTGTTATTGAGAACCTAAAAATTTCCTACTTTCCCATTCTTCCCAGTATTCTGTGCTTACCAAGGCAAAACTTATTCTATAAAGTTTATACTTATTTTATAAAACATAGCATTTCCTATCGTGAAAAGTTATTGTATATGATATATAAAACATAACACTTTTTATAAAACCTATAAAATCACCTAGAAATTCAGCCTCCCAGAGAAAACCCCCATTAATCTGCTGATGTATTTGGTCATTTCTATTGCCCAATGTGCATATAAGAACAATGCGTAATATGTTTGAAAGCATTTGCCTAGTTCTTCTATTTCCAAGAAATTTCCATTAGCCAAAGACCCCATATCTGATAGCATGACTAGGCAATAATCTCATGCTGTTTCAAAAGGTAATTTCAGATTTGACATATAAAGAAAAAACTTTATATTCATCATTCCCACCCTTACAACCACAAAGCTAGACATAATGGAAATAAACAATTTTTCTTGTACTCACCAGAGAATTGAGTTCTCAGGGCAAACTGTCACTGCAAGAGGCCGGAGCATTCAAGGAATCAGTGGAGGTGTTATTTACCTGGAGCAAAAGCCACCAGAGCCATTAATTGGTAGGAATACTTGAAATGCCAGAGGGTGAGTATGAGGCATGAAACTCCATGAATCACAGTTTTAAGGGGGCCTCCACACTTTTGTGGGTTTTACCTCCAAGAATCCCACAAAGTTCTCACAGTAAAGGGCCAAAAACGATTCTAGCTGGGCTCTAGCAAGGCTCTAGCAAGGTGAGAGGAAAAGGAGCCATTTTGAAATACATCTAGAGGCTTCCTCTTAACAAAGATTTACTCTCCAGGTGATAAGACTTTCAGAGAGTCTTATCACACCTGGAGGGAAGGGCATTTATCCACAGATAGCTACTCTAGAGCCTCCTGTCTCTTGTTAATGACGAGTGGGTAGAAGATTGGAACCATTTGTGAAGGGCTCAGGATAGCCCAGGAGCAAAAACATTAAAATAACTTGATTTAATTATAAGATTATAAAAGCCTTTCCTCCCTCACTTCTTAGTATCACATCAATAGGGATCTAGTATAATGACAGTGGATTGCAGCTAAAGGAGACTTTTCAGGAAGAGTTCTTAGACGAAGACAACAGAAGAGGCAACAAGAAGGAAACTAGACCTGTAGCTGCAGCAATCATCACACAAAACTCACCTCCTGGCTATTAACCTATTAACCTCAACTAAGCTCAGACAACTTCAATTATCCTCAGATTATAGGCCTTTCCCTTAGTCGCTACTACCTGGTATATCATCTCCAGCTTTTGGCAAACAAAACAAACAAAAACAAGGAAGGCTAAAGGTAAGACAAAGCATATTGTGAACATAAAACAAACAACAGAACCAGACTAAAAAATGACACAGATGTTATTATAGAATATAAGAAAGGATGTTGAAATAACTATGATTTATCAAGATATTTACTCAAAAAAGTAGACAACATGTAAGAGCAGATGTGTAATGTAAACCAAAAGATAAAAACTCTAAGAATTAATCAAAAGAAAATGCTAGGAAAAAAACACAAACAAGCAAAGTGAATGTTTTTGGGATGCTCATTCATAGCTCGGGTATGGCTGAAAATGAATCAGTGAGCTAAAGATATGCCAATAGAAATTTCCAATACTGAAATGCAAGCATAAAAAGTAACGAAAAATGCAAAACAACATGAAAACAGACAATCCAATAACCATGGAACAATTTCAAAAGATATAAATACATGTAATTGAAATATCAGAAGAAGAAAGAGAATGGAACAGAAAAAAAAAATTGTAATAATAGTTAAGAATTTTTCAAAATTAATAACAGATAGTAAACTACAGATCCAGGAAGTACACCAAGGAGAATGAACACCAAAAAAAATCTACATGAAGGCATAGCACACTCAAATTGCATAAAACCAAATGCAAACAGAATCCTGAAAGAAGCATGACTAGGATGGAAGGAGATAGAGAAAACATCTTACCCAAACAGTAACAAGCAATAAAAATTGCAGAAGTTTTCTCATCAAAAACCATGCAAAGATGAAGAAAGTAAAGTGAAATAAATGTTGTTGAAAGAAAGAAAAAAAATGCAACCTAGAATTTTATATTCATCAAAATTGTCTTTCAAAAGTGAAGGCAAAATAAAGACAGCAAATAATTCAGCAAATCAAAAGACAATGCAACCATTCAGAAACTATTATTTTCTTTGAAGCCTGGATCTCTAGATATGGTTAGCAGTCACTTCTGAAATAATTGTTTATTTGACTTTTCCTAGGTCCATACAGTAAATACTGCACAAGTTAACATTTTACTTTCTAAAATCACTTTTCCACCCACAGCATAGAAAAGGTATGCATACTGATGTGCTATATAGATGAGTTTGCTAGATAAAATATAGTTAACACAGTTAACTTTGAATTTATTATAAATAACAAAAATATTTTAAGTAGATCCCATGAAATATTTGAGCTCTCCTTATATAAAAAAAATTTTTGTTGTTTATATGTAACTCAAATTTAATTGAATATTTTATATTGTTGTTGGCTAAATATGGTAAGACTACATACAGGTAAAACAAACCACAGCCTCAATTATACCCAACTTATCACCAAAAACTGCCCAAAACACTAGTCCCAAGAAGGTAGCTTTAATTAGAATAATCAGATGTCTCTAGCAGTTCATCATGCCTTACATCTTAATAAATACCAGTTGTCACCAATAACAAAAGCCTCATGTTATTCTTTATGAAAATTCATTCTATTTGTTAAGCAAAATACTCTATAACTTCAATGTTTGCTTATTTTTTTGGACTCTAAATAAAACTTTTCAAACTCTCCTGATTTTAACTTAAGTAGTCATCATTTAGTGGTAGCTGTTATTTTTCTCTCCCATACCAATCAATGCAGGGAGTACAGTTGAGGTAGGTTTGCTTCTTGCTGCTTCTTAGAAATTCCAGACTGTAGCTCCTGTCACATCTCTAAAATCCTGAGCTCCTTTAAAGCAAATGCTGTTAGCTATACCACTTGTACTGTTACTGGCTGGTGGGTTGTTGACCCTTGGTAAATAGAAACAAACTAAGAGTCTGAGATGGGTTTGAGCAAGGCAGTTTATTGGGACTTTCAGCTCCAGCAGAAAGGGAAACAGGAAAAGGAAAAGACTTGCTTCAGAAAGCAAGTTAGTCATTATTCTGAGGTTTTATTTCCTTTGGACCTCCTCTGGGTGACATCATTGCATATTTGGGGTGGTCTGTGAATTTCACCTGTGCAGTTTCTCCTTATGCTTCTTCATGTGATGCTGGTCTCATTAGCATCTTAAATCTCCACTTAGGAGTGTGATTTTTACTATTAAAATGAAGCAAAGGTCAGGATAGGACATTACTGGGCATGCACATTTGGGGAGGGTCTTTTGGAAAGTGCCTGCACTTGTTAACCAGGGTGTTTATGGTCAGAGTACTCTGTTCCCTTCTGTTCTGTGTTGGTTCACTTTGTGAAAGAAAGTGTTCATGGTTGCCATGTAGCAGGACAAGCCGCAGACAAAACCCTTCAGAGTTAAAGAAGGAAGGGCTTTGTTTGGCCAGGAGCTAAGGCAAGACTCACGTGTCCAACAACCGAGCTCTCCAAGTGAGCAATTCCTGTCCCTTTTAAGGGCTCACAACTCTAAGGGGGTCCACGTGAGAAGGTCCTGATCAATTGAGCAAGCAGGGGGTATGTGACTGGGGGCTGCATGCATGGCTAATTCAAATGGAGCAGAACAGGACACGGATCTTCACAGTGCTTTTCTTATGCAAATAACCGATTAGGTCAGGGGTCGATCTTTAACTACCAGGCCCAGGGTGTGGCACCGGGCTGTCTGCTTGTGGATTTCATTTCTGCCTTTTAGTTTTTACTTCGGAGGCAGAAATTGGGTATAAGACAATATGAGGGGTGGTCTCCTCCCTTAGCCAGGCTGCAAGGCTGAACACAGCTAGCACAGTCAAGTGCACACAAGGAAAAATGGGGAGGAGTTTCTCCTGCCCAGTTTTCCCTGTCTGTCTCAGTACTTTCCAGACTATCAAATCCAAGATTACTTGCCTCTTTAGTTGAAGATTTTAACACCTTCACCATCTTCATTGCCATCACTATTTAGAGCATCAGTCCTCATATTTCAGCATCCATTTAGCGGATCCATCCGATGCTCTAAACTCTCAGTTGCTTTACCACATGCCAACAGAATTTACACCTCCTTCACCTTAGCCACCATAGTCATCTATGGTCTTAGGTTAGGCCAGAGTCTCTCATCATCTTGCTGTGATACGCATTGCTGCCATTATTAAAATACAGGTGTATTCCAGATAATCACTTCAGTCACAAGGACAGCTATGTGGGGACTATGAGGGTCTGAGTCTGCTGCCTTGCTGGCCCTGAATGAGAGGAACTCTGTTTACCTCAGCTTGCCCATGTACATGTTTTTATTTTGTATCTGTGCCCTGAATAGAAAACATTTGTGAAGCTTCTTAGTTTAATACTAACTAATGCACAGCCTCTTAATATTAACTTCAGGCATCCACCTTCAACCAAATTTCTCACTTCCTGCTCACATATTCTAAATAACCTCTCTAACAATTTTGAATCCCAACTGAGGCCACCTACCAATTGACTCCGCCATATTAACATTTTCAATTGTTCTTCTATCCTGACCAGATGGGTCTGTGACTATTATCACATCCTTGAATATACACAGTGGCTTAGACCAACTCTCCTTGTTCTCCCCCAACAGATTTTTATCCCTGATTCAAAGTAGCTAAGCATGCCTAAAAAAGTAAAATATGAAACCAAGCACATATATTCCACCTCAAATAGTTTACCACAAGTTACATTTGGTCTCACAACACTGTTAGTGATCTTATTTTATTTCCCACTTAATTTCCCATTTAATTACACACTTTCTAAGTTGACTATACCTCACCTTGTCTTCTCTACTCAAACCTTTCTTTTACTTATTTGCTGTTTTAGGTTGCTTCTTAATTTACTGAGGCATCAAAAGTATTACAAGAGATATTTTGATACCACCAACTCTGCTAACCAATCAGGACCCATATAAACTTAACTCTCCTTTTTCTAATGAGAAGTGGTTTTGACTTCCGTATTATTTACCTAGTGGTGTCCTAATAAAATTTAAGCAACCAAAAACTAGGTGGCTTAAAACAACACAAATTTATTATCTTACAGTTCTGGAAACTAAAAGATTGAAATCATCATGTCAGTGGTGCCATGCTTCCTCTGAAACCTGTAAGGAACAACCCTTCCTTCCCTTTCTAGCTTGTGGTGGAGGCTGTCAGTCCTTGGCATCCTTTGGCTTGCCACTTGATATAGTTTGGATGTTTGTCCCCTCCAAATTTCATGTTGAAATGTGATTTCCAATATTGGAGCTGGGGCCTGGTGGGAGGTGATTAGATCATGGTGGTAGATCCCTCATCAATGGTTTAGCACCATCCCATGATAAGTGATAACTCACTCAGTTAGTTCACACAAGATCTGGTTGTTGAAAAGCCTGGGACCCCCTTCCTCCAGTCTCTCACTTCTACTATCACCATGTGATGTGCCTGTTCCTGCTTTACCTTCAGCCATGAGTAAGAGCTCCCTGAGGCCTCACCAGAAGCTAAGCAGATGCCAGCAGCATGCTTCCTGTCCAGCCTGAATAACTGTGAGCCAATTAAACCTCTTTATTAATTATCCAGCCTCAGGTATTTCTTTATAGCTATACAAAACAGCCTAATAACCAGGTGCACCTCTTCGATTTCTGCCTCTGTTATGTGATATTCTTCCTGCGTGTTTGTCTCTCCGTCCAAAAATCCTTCTTATGATGCCAGTTATATTGAATTAGGACTCACCCTAATGATCCCATTTTAACTTGAATACATCTTCAGAGACTTTATTTCCAAGTAAAGTCACATTCAAAGGCACCAGAGATACCTATGACTTAAGACTTCAACATATTTTTCAAGGGCACACAGTTTTAAGAACTTCTAATAAAAACAACCACTGAATTCCAATCCCTCTCCCTTGTCTCTTAGATCATATCAAGATGAAATTATATACAGTGATATCCATACAGAATTATTGATGTAAATTTGTCTCTTAATGAATTAAGCATGGTGTCTCACACCTATAATCCCAACATTTTGGGAGGCCAAACATAGGAGGATTGCTTGAGCCTAGGAATTCCAGACCATCTTTGGTGACATAGTGAAACCCTGCCTTTACAAAAATTCAAAAATGAGTCAGATGTGGTGGTGTGTACCTGTAGTCGCAGCTACTCAGGAGGCTGAGGTGGGAGAATTGCCTGAGCACTCCAGCCTGGGGGAAAGAGTGAGACTCTTCCCTGCAACCTTTCTTTTTACACACACACACACACACACACACACACACACACACACGTACATACATACATATATACATATATATACACACTCCCTTGACATCATACATATATATCAACAAATATACCCCATCTAGAACTCCCTACCTTCATCAAATCTTTAGAAACAATTGTCTGTGTTATCTGCTTCCACTTCAGTACCTCCTATTATTTCATCATCTAGATACTTTTTCATACATTATGTCATATTTTATAGGTAGTTGTATCTATCACCATTTCCACCCTAGTGCATTTTAGATTTATATGACCGGCCCTTACATGATTTTTGAGCTCAAATATATAGGAAATTCAGTGTCACCATGTCTCAAATTAACCTTCAGTTTCCTCCATTAAGTATCCAAATCTTCCTATTTTAGCAAATGACACAACTATTCTCAGTTATTTAAGCCCTAGTAAAGATACCACATCAGAAAGTCATCATGTTAAAATGAGGGAAAACCAAAAACACAGAAAATATTTTTTTTAAAGGCAGAGCAACAAAAAAAGTATTAGCCCTAAAAATGTACAAGATTGTCTTAGAATTGACTGTTTACCTAAAACAGAAGTCAGAAATCAAAGGACTGATGAAACAAAATTTGAAATAAATGGGAAAAAGGTAGATTAAAAACAATACGTTTTTACATTGAATTTGAATAATAAATTTTTTAATTACAAGTTGACTGTAAAATCAGATTTTAATAAGAAAAAAAATATATGCCATATGCAAGAGATATCTTAAAAAAAAGGACACAAATATTTGATAGTAGAATTGTGGAGAAAGACATTCTAGACAAAGACCATATAAAAGGAGGCTGATATATCTATACTAAAATGGAAAAGCATAAACTCTGGGGCAATAAATAATATAGAAGAAAATGAAAAAACATAAAAGAAAAGGTCAATTTAAAACTAAGACAAAGCAATCATAAAAATGCATGCATCCTATAAAATAGTTTTAACACATATAAGGTAAAAACTGAAAAAAAAGGAAAAATGTTAATGAAAAATACAGTTGAAATTAAAAAAAAACTCTCAGTAACAAGATTAGAAAAATATTATTTAGAAAGTAGAAAATTTGAATGACATTTAAAAAACGATATACAGAAAATAGTACATAATAACTGTAGGGCATACATTCTTTTCATGTGACTATGAAAAAAATACCAATATTTGGCTCAATTAATATCAAAGTTTTAAAACCACACTAAATATGCAATCTGACTACAGTAGAATTAAACAAGAAATGAATAACAGAAATACAGCTAGAAAATTCTAGGAAGTTTAGAAATTAAGTAATATGCCTTTAACTGATGGATCAAAAAAATAAGTTATAGAGAGTTATTACATGTTTTGAAAACACATAAAGAAAATGTATTTCAATGCTTTGTGACATATTTACAGAAATAAAATGAAGGAATTTTATGCATTTCACAATGATGCAGAAAGAATAATGATTTATGAAACTAAAAAATTAGAACCAATAAACCATAAAATAAAATAGAGAAAATTAAAAGCCCAACATTTATTCATGTATTTTATATCAAATATTAATACAATTGTTGAACCCCTAGAAAGACTAATCAAATTTGGGATCCACAAATATCAGTATAAAAAATATAAAATTGGCTGGGCGCGGTGGCTCACGCCTGTAATCCCAGCACTTTGGGAGGCTGAGGCGGATGGATCACGAGGTCAGGAGATTGAGACCATCCTGGCTAACACGATGAAACCCTGTCTCTACTAAAAATACAAAAAAAATTAGCCGGGCGTGGTGGTAGGCACCTGTAGTCCCAGCTACTTGGGAGGCTGAGGCAGGAGAATGGCGTGAACCTGGGAGGTGGAGCTTGCAGTGAGCCAAGATTGCGCCATTGATCTCCAGCCTGGGCGACAGAGCAAGACTCCATCTCAAAAAAAAAACAAAAATCTATCTATCTATCATCTATCTATCTATCTATCTATCTATCTATCTATCTATCTATATATAAATCAGAATTAGGAGAAATAAGGCACTTAGGAGACAGGGCTAATGTGCAGCTCCCATTTTGATGGATAGAACAGTGTGTGGAGACTCACATGAATGCTTGCTCCAAGAACCACCACAAGAACATAACCAGGAAAAGTGAAAGAATTCACGGATTCTTTAAAAGAAGTGGCATGTCACTGCAAATTCTGTGAGATAGATGAAAAACTGTGAGTTCCCAAAACATAAGAGGAGGAAAACCTACCTCCAAAAACACATCCCCACTAGAGAATTTGAAAATCCAGATCATAAGAGAAGGATTTAACCTTACCTAGAGGTAAAATGGATTTAGGGAGCTGCACAAAATATAAAAGTAGAAACAGCTGTGGGAAGAGCCGTGTAAGCACTCACAGTCTCTAGCTAAAGCCCAGGGAAGCCATCCCTGACTATATCTCACAGTGGCCCTTGGGGAAGGCAGCCAGCAGGATTAGGGAGGGCTCGCAGGGTGAAGGAAGCTTCCAACTGAAATTTGTAACAATTTCAACTGGGTATATGTTTTCTTAAGCAGAATTGGAGGGGCAAATGAGAACTGCTGCAGTTAACAAGCATGGGAGCCACTACCGACAGCATGGACAGAGGGTGGGGGCAAGGCCTGAAAGACATGCTTGTTTTCTCAGTGGAGAAGCTCATGGCCTGGCACAAGGTCTGAGTAGGGCACTGCAGGAGCAGGACTGATCTTGCCAAATGCATGGGAGGAGGGTGAGGCCTCTTGCTACTGTCTATCCCCCACTTCTGTGGCAAATTATAACACACAGCAGAGGCATCCATAATTCCATCTGGAACATAAACCCATTGGGTCGAGAACCATATACCCTCATCCCCCACCATAGCTGCAGTAAGCCCTGCCCAAAAGAGTTTGAGCCCAGACCCGCTTAGCCCTGTCCCCACCTGATGGTATTTCTCTACCCACCCAGGTAGCAAAATACAAAAGACAGAAACTCTTGGGAGCTTTATGGCCCCACAATTGCCTGAGAAATCAGAAAAGTTACCAACTTAGGGCAAGCTCAGATCTCCCTACTACTACCACAGCTGGTGCTCTCTAGAATATACCACCTTCTTGCTGGAGGCCAACCAACTGAGGCCACTGCAGCAACTCATGACAGAATAACTCTGTTCCCAGGAAGCAGAAAACAACAGCTAAGTCCACTGCCTAAAACATCCTGACTAACCAGAGGGCCTGAGTCTATCCATAAGACAACTTCACTGCTAGCATAACAAGCATTTGAGAAAGCCAGCACACTAACATATCTACAACCAAGGACTCTCACAGAGTGTACTTAACTCCCCTGCTACCTCCACCAGAGCAGGGAAGTGCTGGTATCCATTGCTGGGTGACCTGAAGAAGAACCACAAAACAGGACTCTTTGCAGACATTCCCCAGTACTGGCCCAGAACCCAGTAGCTCTGCTGGGTGGCGAGACCCAGAAGAGCAATAACAACCACTGTGGTCTGACTCTCAGGAAGCCCTCGCTGTAGGGGAAGGGGGAGGGCACCACATTAATGGATCATCCTAAGGGATGAAAGAATCTGAAGAGCGGGACTTGAGTTCTGGATCTTTCCACTCAAACAGTTTACCCAAATGACAGGGAAGTAATGTTATCAACATGACAAAATGACAAAACGGGGTTCTATAACATCCCCAAAAGATTACAATAGCTCCCCAGCAATGGACCCAAACCAAGATGAAACTCAGAATTGCCAGATAAATAATTCAGAAATTTGATTATTAAGCTACTAAGATATCAGAAAAAAAGTGAAAAACAACTTAAGTTTAAAAGAAAATACAGGATATGAATTAAAAAATTCTTCAGAGAAATATACATCATAAAGAAAAAACAGTCACATCTTCTGGAAATGAAAGACACAATTACATAAATACAAAATGCACTGGAAACTTTCAACAATAGACTAGAACAATGAGAAGAAAACTTCAGAGCTCAAAGACAAGGCTTTTGAATTAATCCAATCAGACAAAGACAACAAAAAATAATAATAATAAATAAACAAAGCCTCCAAGAAAATTGAATTTTATTAAATGGTCAAAACTAAGAATAGTTGGTGTTCCTGAGTAAGAAGAGAAATTAAAAAGTTTGGAAAACTTATTTGAGGGAATAATTGAAGAAAACTTCCTTGGCCTTGCTAGACATCTGTATATTCAAATATAAAAAGCTAAAAGAACACCCGGGACATTCATTGCAAAAAGATTATCATCTGGGCATATTGTTATCAGGTTACCTAAAGTCAAGATAAAGAAAATAATCTTAACAGCTGTGAGACCAAAGCATCGGGTAACCTATAAAGACAAAGCTATCACATTAACAGCAGGTTTCTCAGCGGAAACCTTACAAGTCAGAAGGGATTGAGGTCCCATCTTTAGCCAAAACAAAAGAATTTTCAGCCAAGATTTGTATATCCAGCAAAACACTTCATAAATGAAGTGGAGATAAAGTCTTTTTCAGGCAAACAAATGCTGAGAGAATTTGCCACTGACAAGCCAGCACTACAAGAATTACTAAAAGGAGCTCTAAATTTTGAAACAAAACCTCAAAATACATCAAATTAAAGCATAAATCTCACTGAGCCTATAAAACACTAACATAATAAAAAACGTATTAAGGCAACAACTAGGATAATTAATAGAACAGTACTTTACATCTCAATACTATTGTTGAATGTAAATGGCCTAAATGCTCCACTTAAAAGATGCATAATGGCAGAAAGGATAAAAATTCACCAACCAAGTATTTGCTGTCTCCAAGAGACTCACATAAATTTAAGGTAAAGGGGTGGAAAAAGATACTCCACACAAAAGGAAACCAAAAGCAAACAGGAATAGCTATTCTTATGTCAGAAAACAGACTTTGAAGCAACAACAGTAAATTAAGACAAAGAGGGACATTATATAATGACAAAAAAATTAGTCCAAGAGGAAAATATCACTATCCTAAATGTATATAAAACTAACGCTGGTGCTTCCAAATTCATAAAACAATTATTACTGGACCTAAGAAATGAGACAGATGGCAACAAAATGATAGTGGGAGACTTCAATACTCCACAGACAGCATTAGACAGGTCATCAAAAAAGAAAGTCAACAAAGAAACAATGGACTTTATTCCCTAGAACAAATGTACTTAACAGATATTTACAGAACATTCTACTCAACAACTGCAGAATACACATTCTTTTCATCAGCACATGGAATATTCTCCAAGATAGACCATATGATAGGTCACAAAACAAGTCTCAATAAATTTAAGGAAATCTAAATTACATTGAGCATTCTCTCCATCCTCAGTGAAACAAAACTGAAAATTAACCTCAAAAGGAGCCCTCAAAACCATACAAATACATGTAAATTCAATACTATTATCTTGAATGATCTTAGGGTCAACAATGAAATCAAGATAGAAATTTAAAAATTCTGTGAATGGAACAATAGTGAAACATCTTATCAAAACCACTGGGGTACAGAAAAAGCACTACCAAGAGGAAAGTTCATAGCATTAAATTCCTATATCAAAAAGTCTGAAAGAGCATGAATAGGCAATCTAAGGTCATACCTCAAGGAACTAGAGAAACAAGAACAAACCAAACCCAAAGACTGACTGCAGAAGAAAAGAAATAACAAATTTCATAGCAGAATTAAATGAAATTGAAACAAAAAATATGAAATATAAATGAAACAAAAAGCCGCTTCTTTGAAAACATAAACAAATTTGATAAGACTATTAGCGAGATTAACTAAGAAAAGAAGAAATAAGATCTAAATAAGCTCAATTAGAAACAAAACAATACCACAGAAATGCAAAAGACCATTCAAGTCTACTATGAGCACCTTTACATGACAAATTAAAAAATCCAGGGAAGATGGATAAATTCCTGGAGGTATAAAACCCTCCTAGATTAAATCAGGAAGAAATAGAAATTCTGAACAGACCAATAACAAGTAGCAAGATTGAAATAGTAATAAAAAAATTGCCCCAAAATTCCAGAACCAGATGGATTTACAGATGAATTATACGAGACATTCAAAAAACAATTGGTACCAATCCTGCTGAAACTATTCAAAAAGATAGAGAAAAAGGGAATCCTCCCTAAATCATTCTATGAAACCAATATCATCCTAATACCAAAATGAGGAAACAACATAACAAAAAAGAAAACTACAGACCAGTATCCCTGATGAACATAGATGCAAAAACCCTCCACATAATACTAGCTAACCGAATTCAACAGCAAATCAGAAAGATAATCCACCATGATCAAGTGGGTTTCATGCCAAGGATGCAGGGATGGTTTAACATACACAATTTAACAATTGTGATACATCACTTAAACAGAATTAAAAAGAAAAATCTTATGATTATCTAAATAAACTCTGAAAACTCTCAGACAAATAATTTGGCAAAATTCAGCATCCCTTTATGATTAAAAACCTCAGCAAAATAGTCATAAAAGGTATATACCTCCCGGTAATAAAAGCCATCTATGACAAACCCACAGCCAACATTATACTGAATGGAGAAAAGTTAAAAGCATTTCCCCCGACAGCTAGAAGAAGAGAGCATGTCCACTTTCACTACTTCTATTCAACATACTACTAGAAGTCCTAGCCAGAGAAACCAGCCAAGGGAAAGAAATAAAGGGTATCCAAATCAGTAAAGAAGTCAAACTGTTCCTGTTCACTGATGATATGATTGTATACATAGAAAACCCTAAAGACTCATCCAAAAAGCTCCTAAATCTGAGAAACAAACTCAGTAAAGTTTCAGGATACAAAAGTGGTATACAAAAATCAGTAAAGCTGCTATATACCAACAATTACCAAGCTGAGAATCAAATCAAGAACACAACCCTTTTTGTAACACCTGCCAAAAAAAAAATTGCATTACCTGAGTTCCAACTATACCTCAAGGATATAGCAACTAAAACAGCATGGTACTGGTATAAAAATTGGCATGTAGACCAATGGAACAGAATAGGGAACCCAGAAATAGAGCTAAATACAGCCAATGAATCTTCACAAAGTGAACAAAAACATTAATTGGAGAAATAATACCCTATTTAACAAATGGTGCTGGGATAATTTGCAAGCCACATGTAGAAGAATGAAATTTGATCCTCATCTCTCACACAAAAATCAACTCAAGAT
Source organism: Homo sapiens (assembly GCF_000001405.40). Classification (NCBI taxonomy): domain Eukaryota; kingdom Metazoa; phylum Chordata; class Mammalia; order Primates; family Hominidae; genus Homo; species Homo sapiens. The sequence goes on from NC_000011.10 coordinate 97,593,696, forward strand.
CTCAGACTTAAATCTAAGATCTGAACCTATAAAAATTCTAGAAAATAGCATTGGAAAAACTCTTCTAGACATTGGCTTAGACAGAGTTCATGACCAAGAACACAAAAGGAAATGCAACCAAAACAAAAATAAAAAGATGGGACCTTATTACATTAAAAAGCTTCTGCACAGCAAAAGAAATAATTGGACAAGTAAACAGACAACCCACAGATTGGGAGAAAATATTCACAAACTATGCATAATACAAAGGACAAATATCCAAAATCTGCAAGGAACTCAAACAAATAAGCAAGAAAAAAATAATCCCATCAAAAAGTTGGCAAGGAAAGCAAATAGACAATTCTCAAAAGAAGATATACAAATGGCCAACAGACATGTGAAAGATGGTCAACATCACTAATTATCAGGGAAATGCAAATTAAAACCACAGTGAGATACTACCTTACCCTGCAAGAATGGCCATAATTTAAAAAAATAGATGTTGGCATGGATGTGGTGTAAAGGGAACACTTCACTGCCGGTGGGAATGTAAACTAGTACAACCACTATGGAAAACAGTATGGGGATTCCTTAAAGAATTAAATGTTCATCTACCATTTGATCCAGCAATACTACTACTAGTTGTCTAACCAAATTAAAAGACGTCATTATATGAAAAAGACACTTGCACATGCATGCTTATAGCAGCACAATTCACTATTGCAAAAATATGGAACCCACCTAAACATCCATCAACCAACAAGTAGATAAAAAAAGTGATATATATATGTGATATATATATCACATTGATGTATATATCATATGTCATATATGTATCACATTGATTATATATCATATATGATATATATCACAGTGATATATATCACATTGATTATATATCACATATATCATATATATCACATTGATATATATCACATATATCATATATATCACATTGATATATATCACATATATCATATATATCACATTGATATATATCACATATATCATATATATCACATATATCACATTGATATATATCACATATATCACATTGATATATATCACATATATCACATTGATATATATCACATATATCACATTGATATATATCACATATATCACATTGATATATATCACATATATCACATTGATATATATCATATATATCACATTGATATATCACATATATCATATATATCACATTGATACATATCACATATATCATATGTATCACATTGATATATATTACATGTATCACATTGATATATATCATATATATCACATATATCACATTGATATATATCATATATATCACATATATCACATTGATATATATATCACATATATCACATTGATATATATATATAGCATAGAATACTACTCAGCCGTAAAAAGGAATGAAACAATGGCATTTGCAGCAACTCGAATGTAGTTGGAGACCATTATTCTAAGTGAAGTAACTCAGAAATCAAAAACCAAACTTCATATATTCTTACTTATAACCAAGAGCTAAGCTATGAGGATGCAAAAGCATAAGAATGATATAATTACATAATAGACTTTGGGGACTCAAGGGGAAAGGTGGGAGATGGATGAGGGATACAAGACTGCACATTGGGTACAGTGAACACTGCTCAGTTGACGGGTGTTCCAGAATCTCAGAAATCACCACTAAAGACCTTATCCATGTAACCAAAACCACCTGTTTCCCAAAAACTATTGAAATAATAAAAAAAGAATATAAGATCACCCCCCAAATCTATAAAAGTAAAGTAGCAAAACAAAAAGAAAGTAAAGGTTTAGATTACTACAGACAGTAAAAAGCAAACCAAAGGGACTGAATGAGTAACTGCATGTCAATGAATTACTTAGATAAAGTGAAAAATTTGTTAGAGAAATCTAGCATAAAAACTGGGCCAGGCTTGATGGCTCATGCCTGTAATCCAGCATTTTGGGAGCCTGGAGTGGGAGCATTGCTTGAGGACAAAGTCTGAGACCAATCCAGGAAACACAGCAAGTCTCTATAAAAATATTTTTAAAAACAGAGAAGCAATACTATAAAATCTAAAAAAACTCTTATCTACTTTTTTAAAATAGGCTATTATTAAGAACTTTCCCTCAAATGAAACTCTAGCGCAAGATGGCTTCAGCAATGAAAATGATTAAGGAAGGGAAAACACCAATCCTACATAACTAGGTCAATTGGATTCCTACGTGGAAAAATAAAGCATAATGCGAAACAAACCGAAGTAAATTCCACAAGGATTGTAGATATGAATGAAAAAGGTAAAATAGTCTCTTAATGGTACTATAAAAAAACATTTATATGACTCCTTTTCCTCCTCCCACCCCAACCAAGTGGTGGGAACAGGGGAGGCAGATGTACAATATGTAATATGTCTTCGATAGGTCACAGAAAGTACTAACCATAAAGAAAAAAATTGATAAATTGAACTCATTAAGTTAAGGGCATATTCCTTAAAACACACCAACAAGAGAGTAAAAAAGCAAGTTAAACAATGGGAGAATATATTATAATATATATATCACGCAAAGGAGTTATGTGGAATAAAGAACTTATAAAAATTAATAAGGAAAAGCAGACAACTACTCAACAAATTGGCAAAAAATTGAACAAGTATTTCTTAAAAGAGATATTCAAAACCCCCATAGGCATCTTGAAGACATACCAATGAAAACCACAATGAGAGATGACTATACACTCCACAGTGTGAAAAAAGTATTAGACTTTTCATATACTGCTGGTGGAAGTATAAATTAGTATATCTACTATGGAATACTGTTTGTCAATAGCTTCTAAAACTGAGCGTACAGCAACCCTGTCACTTGGTATTGCTCCACTACATCTATAAAAAAGAGAAATATACCAAAAGATATACACAATTATGGACATAGTAGCATTATTCATAGTAGTTTCAAACTGGAAGTACCCTAAATGTCTATCAATATTAGACTGGATTAAAGAAAATTATAGTCTATCAACAACCAATTACTGTTAAACACAACAGCAGATGAATATCAATGAGTATCATCATCATCATAGTTAGTAAAAGAACCCTGCCACAAAAAGCAAATACTATAAACTTCCATTTGATTGGAATTTAAAATAAGAGAAAACTAGTCTATCATGATAAAGGTCAGAATATTGACTATTTCTTAGAATAACAATTATTGGAAGGAGGCACAAGGGAGGCTTCTGCATGTTGGTAATATCCTACACATTGATGAGGTAGCCTCATTTTTCAAATAATTAAACTAAAAATCACAGCTATTAGTTTAATTATCTGGCTCATAGAGCCATTGAATTAAGAATACAGGAGGATGCAGAGCCTGGTTTTCTCATGTTGACCATGGGACAACTGGAAATACAAGCTAGGGGCATCTATGGAAAGGGCAGTAATTGAGAGATTGAGAGACTGGATATTTCACTCTTGGGATCATGCTGGGTAGCAGATTTTTCTTCACCAATTGACAGTAACTAAAACATGCAATTTGGTATTCAGTGGTTTCTAAGCCATAGAGTCTCAGAAGCAGTTATATATTACCTTTCAATAATATGGGAAAACAGACTAGTAGACAAACAGCGAGGACGGCTTATATCATTACTCAGGGGTCCAGGAAAGAAAACTGTGTAAGCCACTGCCCTACAAACATATTTTCCTGCCTCTGAGAAAATAGTGTTTTCCCAACAAGGGTTGACACTGAGTCAAGTATGCTTGTTTTATAATGGCAATGTTAGCTTTGATTTTAGATCCCTGCAGATGTTTTAAATTGTGAGTATACAAGTCCTAGAAAAACCTATGTCGCGAAAGCAAATACTTCAAAAAAAATTATTCCTTTTTTGTAGCTCATATGGTAGAAAATAATGTTATGAGAATTTTACTAATCTTAAAAATTGCTATTCTAAAACTATGCATTCTTCATACCATTTGGATAGGTTTACTAAAGTAACAATATTAAAGAAATAATTAAAAGAAGTGATAGTCTGAACTTGTATTTTTTAGAAATCAACTGCTTTACTAAAATAATTATCAAATGACTGCCAAGTATTCAAGTGTCTAGGACATGGGCTTAATAGATAGTTTCTATCAAAATTAATTATATTTATATAGAAATAAAAAGAAAAAAACGCTATATAACACTATTTAAATGATATTAACATTCTCAAAGACAAAAATAATTGACCCCAAATCATATCTACTTTCACAAAAATAATACATCAGAGGTTAAATACTCACTAAGAAATCTTAAAAATAAGGCAAAATAGTAAATTAACTGAATGTTCAGAATATTGCTGTTATCTGTTAGCTATTTTTCAACTTTTACACAGTGGATGGGGTTAAGCATTTGTGTCTGAGCCTTGTCATGTATTTCACTATTTTGAGCATATCATCTGATCAGTTATAAAATCTGTTCCTGCCACAGGTATCACTGATTCAAAATTTCTATGCATCAAAATATTTTTTAAAGTGTGTAAAATTTTTATGTTAAAAAGTTCATCTATACCAGTACTTCTGCTATTAATAATAGCCAATTTTATTAAATGCTTACTGTTCACTAGACTCAGCTTAAGGTGATTTATTCATATTATTTTTATCAAATTAGTACAACAAGGCTAGAAGATAAATACCAGTATTGTTCCTGTTTTAGAGGTGAGGAAAATAAAGCCTGGAGAGGTGAAGTAGCTTATTCAAAGCCATGCAGTTTTTAAATAGTAGCTAGAATTCAAATTCTGGAAGTCTGAATCCAAACCCAATTACATCAAATATATTTGTTTTTATATAAATATGAACATATGGTATGGAGAAAATAGTTATATACACCAAATGAGAATAAAAGTAACCCCAAAACACAGAATTACATAATTTATCAGATATTCCAGAGATAATATGAAATGTTGAAGTAGCCATTAATAAGTTGCATTAATAAATTTGGAAAGTCATTAATAAAGTTTCAAAGTGTCTCAGAAATCAAAAAGGATGACAAGTAATATGAAGTTAGTTGTGATGAACAAAATATCCACTTTATAAAAAAGGGAGCTCTTAAATCTGTGCTTTCTGAAAGACTGGGCTCTTATATAGACTTTATAATTGTATATGAAAGACATACCAAAAGGAAATCTTTTAATATATATTAGTTAGGAAAGAGGCATATGTTCCAAATGATGCCCTTCATGTTAAAATATGGGAAGAAAAGAATGTTGAAAGGAGTCACATTAAAATGCTGAGGCTTTAAAAATTGCGTTACATTTTCTTCAAATTGTGCACATGAAATACATACTACTTACATAGTCTCAAAAACAAATAGTTATAGGAATCAATAATACATACCTCCTGCAGTAATTTTACATTTCTAACATTCTCATCTGATTCTTTATGATAAAAATAAAATCTTTTTTGTTGTGAGTTCTCTATGCACTGTAATTACATTGACACCTTACTGTAGATGGCACATTTTACAAGTTGAAAGTACACAGAATACGTTTTCTCTTTCCATTTCTAAACCTTCTAGTGTTTCTATTCATGTGGTGAAATACATTTTCAAAGCAAAATTTGCCTATCAGCCTCAGTTAAGAGGAGTCTATGGAAGTGAGAGAGACAGAGGACCAGTTGGAAAAAAAAAAAAAAAGAATATGCTATTATTTTCCTTTATCTTTGAAAATAACTTGGAAAGTATTTTAACGTCAATGTTAAAATATTAACATTAGGAATATTGTTAAAGGATAAAGAAAATATTTTAGTATTAAAAATCATAGGTGATATATATTTTGTTTTGGACGACAGAACATTTTCATATGGAAAGCAGTGGTTACTAGGTGAGGTGTGGAGTCTATGGCCCATGCCTTCTATTCTTCAGGACTAGATTACTTTACTCTTTATTGACTAGCTTTCCTGTTGGGTCACTAAATCAGACAGCGCCCTTTAGACATCTTTCTTTTATACAATGAAGATGAATGTGTTTCATTGCAACTGCTCCAGGCTAGTCAGTAAGTTTGTTTGCTCCTTTTTTTAAAAAATAATAAATTGTATTAAAAATAATATTAAGGGCCAGGCACAGTGGCTCATGCCTGTAATCCCAGCACTTTGGGAGGCCCAGGCGAGTGCGTCACTTGAGGTCAGGAGTTCAAGACCAGTCTGGATAGCATGGCAAAGCCCTGAAACCCCATCTCTACAAAATATATAAAATTTAGCCAGGCATGGTGGCTCTCACCTGCAGTCCCAGCAACTCCAGAGGCTGAAGTTGCAGGATTGCTTGAGCCTGGGAGGCAGAGGTTGCATGCAGAGAGCCAAGATTGCACTACTGCACTCCAGCCTGGGCAACAGAGCGAGAACCTGTTTCATAATAATAATAATAATAATAATTAATAATAATAATCAATAACATTAAGTGTATGAAGCATGATGCAGCCTATCTCTTCAATTAGGGTTCACAGAGACTATTATTTGTAGTTGGCACTAGATGGATTTAGACGTCATCTGAAAACAGGATTACATTTGTTGTCAGGACAACTTTTTCTTCAGTACTTGGGTATATCAAACTTAGGAAATAATTGTTTATACCAACATATTTCTAAAAACAAAAGATGTCTCAAAAGTATTTTTCATACTAGACTTTTATCATTTAAAATATTGCTGTACACTAATATGCTAATTATACATATGAGAAAACTGAGGCACAAAAAATGGCATGGCTATTCATTAGTTGATTTTTCACTAGTGATATTTATTAATTATTATTCATCAAATGCAGTGCTGTGTGCTGGGAATATGATGATAGATAAGAATGCAGGCAAGAATGCCCTAAAGTAGGTTGCAGCTCACAGGAGAAAATGGACTAAATAGGAAATTATAATACTTGTTAAAAATATCTCTGATATGGAGAAATAATGTGGTTTGAACAGACTTTAAAGGCCCTGATTTTTCTACTACATAATAATATGTCAACGAAACATCAAACTACATCAAAAAACCCAGTAAAGGAGACCGGCTTGGGATATATAAAACATAAATTTTCTTTAAAAATTTTGAAAGATCTATTCATTCTGAAAACAATGTTGCATGACGAATTTTATTCTAATCAATAATTTGTATCATTTGAATTATGTGTGGAAATTTTTCTTACATTGGACAAACAGACTCAGTACTATCAGTAGTTTATACTTTCTGTAGCTAATGATATATTAGATCATAATATAATAAAATAATATATGTCATTATATCCAGAACTTAAATATATATCTTCAGATATATAATGTATCATTTTCATATTTTTTCTTTGAAAAATCTGAAGAGAGGCAGGGTCTTTGAACATATTTTTAGAAAAAATCAAATTACTATATGTAAAACTCATTATCTACAATAAGAAAGCAAAATTTTGCTAAGCACATTAATGAGAGTTGTAGGAAAATTCACAGTAGAGTTTGATCAAAATCAAACAAAGGAATGAGAATAGTAAATATTCATTTAATCCTTCCCTTATATCATGGTTTGTGTTGAAAATTTACAGATATCATTTTATTTAAACAATATAAAATGTTTAGAGCTTGAAGGCCCCTAAATAACATCTAATACAGTACCTAACTCAGATGAGGAAACTGAACCCAAAGGAATAAATGGTAATCATCTAGAAGTCTTGACTCTGTCTAATGATTTTTTTAAAATCCACATGTGATCTCACTTTGAGAATCAGGAAGACTGATTTGCAATAATGCTTCTTGCATTATAGTATTAGATTATATTACATACTTAATTTTATCGCAGATGAGATTTAAATGCATTTTGCAAAACTATGTATAAATAAATATGCCATTTTTAAAAACCTATCATTGGATTTAAACCTACACACACACACACACACACACACGTGTCTCTCAGCATGAGTCCACATGATTTGAGAGATGAAAAACCCAGTTTACAACCGTGTCCTCTATGTAGCTTGCACAGATGGCATATTCTTTTTGAGATGTAATTGGGCCGAACTCAGTGACCTAACTACCCTCTCATTCTGCTACAAAACACCCATAATACTCAGTAAAAAAGTTTACACCTCAGAAAAACAAATGCTCTAAGAAAGACCATATGTTTAAAAAAAAAATGTTTCCCAAAATGAAGACCCTGAACTTCTTACCTAGGGTCCTTTTTTTTCTGGCCAAAAATATTCTCTGAAATTCTATTCCATATAAACATGCCACTCATCTGCACCCACCTGGAAGGTGGCACAGTTTTCCAGAATTCATGTGGTTCCAAGTTTAATCTCCATGACACAATTGACACAGTTGCTGGCAATTTCTAAGAAGTGGTCCTTGAAGTATTACAGGACACTGTGTACTTTTTGATTTTAGTCATTTTTATCCAGGTATATTTAGAGAAGAATTAAAATATATCATTGAAATGGGGACACACATCACCAAAGTACAATGACATTGCAGCAGAGATTTTGTGGGAGTGTAATCTCACCCAATTCGTTTTCCTGAGATGAATCTAATCTGTTTGGTCTGTTGATAGCTCGGAGACCTTTAGTACTTAATTCGTAACTCCTGAGGGTTCATTGATTGTCCAGTCCCTCCTGGGGCTCTCAGAGGTGCTGGGCACACATACTAAGGCATCAGGGCAATCTTCAACATTCAAGCCAAGCCAAGCCAAGCCAAGAGTACTTTTGTTTTAAGTATTACTTGTACTGCTCTTTAATATACCAAAAGCAGAAGAAAACTTTCAGCGAAAAGATGCAAACATTGTCCCCACAGAAGTAAGAACTTGTAATTTTTCAGTGGATTTTCTGTTAATGTCAGCATATGCCTAGGAGTACAATTTAGCCTGGCTTCACACATTTTGGCAGCCAAGGATATTGGAAAGACCGTGCTCCTTTTCCACTTATTAATCAGGTATTGAATTGATTCTAGGCAGAAAGCTTTCTGAATAGTTTATTTTCTAATTGTATATGGTAATTTTCTAATATAAAAAGTGGGATGTCTTTGAAGCCCTGACTAGGCAGGCTCTACATTGTGTCAATATAAAAAATAAAGTAAAATGCACAGTATTATATATATTATGGATAATTTGCAGATCATTTCCCAGGATATTTAATGTTTACTCTCTGGCCTTATCCTTCAAGAAAACAATCAATCTTGTCAGAAACATATAACTTTTCATTTCATTAGGAACTACCTTCCCATTAAGAAATGAGAATACAACACAGATGACAGAAAAGAGGAAAAGCGTGGATTATTTAACAGAAAGAACTCGGCCTCCTGTATTCAGCAACCATTTTTCTGAAGCTGTCTTATTGTAATTACAAAGATAAAGCTACAGTTTCTTCCCATTCCTTGTCTCTTACACATTTGGCTAACATTTGCAAGCCATGAAGGTAGAAAGTTTACTAAAATATTTATATTTAAGAATTTTTAATTCATTTAAACAGTAGCTATTGTGGGCATATCATAACACACAATGTCAGAATAAATAAATAATAAATAAATAAATATCTTAGGCAATCAGGATTTGAGACATCCACTGCAGCACATAGCATACTCTCTGAGAGCTTACAGTTAAGCGGAATGATAAATATGACTTCAAGCTATATTTGTATAAGGGATATGGGACTTCTGATAAATATGAGTAATAAAGCCAAAGTAGGCTGTACCTTATTGACTATTTTGGATGCAAGACCCTCATAAAGCACACCTTCCCAGTTGACCTATCTCATTATCCTGGACATCAAGCTCCTCTAAGTTGCTGGCATGGCCTTTTGGATGTAAGAGCTAGAAAGTGACTACTTGAGGCTGACGCATTTTTAATAATGGCAAACCTGAGATACCTTTTGGCAGAAATTGCAATTGATTCCAAGGTGATTAGCATATATTCCAGCTGCAGCCAGCCCTTCTGCTGATTTCCCCAATGAACTGTGAACCTCAGAAGTGTTTTGCTGACCTTGTGTTGAATGTGCTTTTCTGGAATTCCCACTTGGAAAGATATAAAATATATTTAACTCACAGTGGCAGCTGTCTTTTGCTTACTGGTTAACTTGGGTGGTGATGGCACCTGGGTCCAAATCATAGCAATATCATCTTGGATGGAAAAGGATAATAACAGTCAAAGACAGAGACAGATAACCCAACTATAACGATAAATTAATAGGGTGAAACTTTAGAACTGTACAATAATTTATAATTCAAATACTGTGGATTTGTTTAAAATCTTCACCTGAAGTGGCAGTACAATTGTCCCGGTGCTGCTACCATTGATCAAAACAGTTTAGGAACATTGAATTTTATTGTAAAAAATCTCTGATACTTTTAGTTACTTTTAGATGAATCACTCTCATTTACATATTTTTTTCTGTCACAACCAGCATTAAGCCTACAAATAATGCATTAGCACTAGTTTGAAATTGCAGGGAGCTGCACCTGTAATATCATAATCATGGAATTTTAAATTATTTTCATGAAAGGTTAGTTTTAAAGTCTCTCTAAGGAAATTTTTACTACAGTTTTTATACGCCACATCCTTCTGATAAAATCAAATCACCCCAAGGGACACACTAGGTAAATCTATAGTATCTATTAATATACCATTCCTAGATTATTGGATAAGATGATAGCAAACATAATGAAAATTTCCATTTGACATTTATATCGTTCAAAAAAAGAAAAATATATCTCCGAAGTCCCATTTCAAACAAAATACATGTAGAAATAAGCGTCCCATAGTCTGAAGCAAGGATATTTTTAAATGTAAATTTTGATTTTGAATAAGCTAACATTGTAAAAGGAGAATAGCAGTTACGTGAATCTTGAGATGTCTTTCATTTACGGACATAGCCATTTTGCAAAATGCTAATTAAGTTCCTAATGTGCAGTAGGTTACGCAGAGATTGGAGATTCTTAGATAAAGCACGAAAGAGTTGGCAATTTTATAGGGAATAAATTAATTCCCGTGTTCCTGAAAAATAGCTCACGGTTTGATCAGTAAATATTAACTCAATGACAGCTTAGAATTCAGGATAACTTCAGAGCTGGAGGAATGAGATAGTTCAGTATGTATTTCATAAGGTAAGAGAGAGGGGCAAATTTAAATACACATCTGCAGTAATGGAGCAGGGAAGGATCACTATCATTTGTTGTCTGGAGATGTAGTGCAGATTGAATTCAAAGATATGATTTGCAACAGCTAGCAACAAAGATCTCTGTTTTCTCATTAACTGGGAATGTGAAGAGAAATCTCATTCATGGACTGATGATAAAGGTTAAATGATGTAATTTCAAAAAAAGAGAAAATAGCAGGACCAGCAACAGCACAAATAAAAACTTGATCCACGAAGGAGGTGACAGTTGACATTGAAGATCACTTCAGAAAATGCTTAATATTTAATATATGTGGAAAAGTGAAAATAATGCATATCATTACCTCACTCCACACACAAAATGAATTTCAGGTAATTAAATACATACGTCTTAAAAGTAAAACTATATAACTTTTCAAAAAATATGAACGAATACTCATGATTTGTAAGCATTTACTAAACAAGAGAAAATAAAAGTACAAGCTATAAAAGTGGAGACTGCGTAATAAATGTTAATTAATTACATCAGAGAATTTTATTTATCCTAATATTTGTTACTCAGTTTTCAGTGCTTGAGAATACATCAGTAAGCAAGACAAATATCTTTGCTCTCTTGGGGTTTATATCCTAGTAACGAGACATACTGCAAACAATTTTTTTAATGCACATTATAAAAATGTCATTACACAATATGTTAGAAAGTTACACAGGGTTAAGTTAAAAGTAGACTAAAGACATTGGAATTTCTGAAGTGAGAATTAAGAGAAATTGTCATTTTTTAAGGGAAACCTGGGTAGGTCTTGTGAAAAGGTGATGTTTGGAAAAAAAATATTGGAAAGAGATAAAGCATCAACAACCATGGAGATAACTGGGGGGAAAGCATTCCTGGGACAAGGAAGAGTGTGTACAATAGTCTTAAAGTATAAAAAGTTTTCATGTATTTGAGAACACGATGAGGTCAATATAGCTAAAGCAGAGTGAGCAAAGGGCAGAATATTAGTAGGCAATATCAGAGGTAGAATGATCAAATAGAATATTGATTTCCATGTTATGTTTCAAAAATCGTTGCTTATTCTGGATAATAAAGATATTCACACGCATTTTATTCTTAAAGTTTAATGTTTTGACTCTTACAACTTGCGATATGTTTAATTACATGGAGCTGTCACTCATCTTCAGAGAATTGTTATAATGGAGGAGGCAGCTCTCATGTCACAAATCTGTACATTTTTCCAGAAAAGCTGTGTTCATGAATTTTAATGTTAAATATCATATAAGTAAAATTTTTTCACATTGATTATTTTCTATAAGAGGAAATTATCTAATTATATATATATATTTCTTATTGAAAATGAAGTACTCTACCACTGGTCAATGAATAGTCCCTCTTATTTCCACTGCTTTCTTTTGCCACCAGTGCCATATCATTTTATTTATGCATATGTTGTATTCTGGGTTATTCTGGTCTTGCTTGGTCTATTCCTATAATAAAATGCATGGTATTGCTCACTATAGTTTTGTAATAATCCCTGTTACCTTGTGCCTCTGATGGAGAAATTGTCTTGCTATTGTTGGTCCTTTGATCTTTGTTTAAAAAAATAGAATTAGTTTGCCAAGTTCCACCAGAAATAACAATTTTAAGAATGTGAATAAAATTACACTAAACGGATAGGTTAATATAAGGAAAACTGACACTTTTAGAAAACTGCGTCTGACAGTTACCTCTTATATATCCCCATTGAGTCAGAATCATTTTATACATATTTAAAAATATATATTTATTTCAATTACTTTATAGCTTTTAAATTGTGTAAAATTTTAAAATTACATCTCTAACGGTTCCTGGCATATACAATTCTTATTGATTTTTGAAATATGTGTCTTATATATAGCAGACTTATTAATCTCTATCATTTATAACTTTAGCTGTACATTCATTTATGTTTCTGAGTAGGAAATCATAGTATCTTTGAATAATGATTTTTTTCTTTATAATTCCTAAATTGTAATTTTATTGTTTTATTTTTCTATACTTTTGTCTGACTTGATCTGTCTAGGTCCTTCAATCCAGTGTTAAGTAGAAATCAGGTTGTTGGACACTTGTTTCCTTCCTGACTTCTAAAAAAATTTTTTTATTGTGTGACTTTGGATGTATGATATTTGTAGACACATTTTAACCTGGTAAGGAAATTCAGTTCTATTTTAAGGTAAGGTTTTTTTAAAAACCACAGTTGTTGATAGTTTCACAGATAATTTTGCCTCTGGTTCAATAATTTTATTTATATGTTTTTTTACTTTAATCCATTAATGTGGTAAATAATGCATTCCTGAGATAAACCTAACTTGGTCATGATATATTTTTATGCACATTTATAGATTTTATTTGCAAATATCATGTCTAAGAAAAAATATGATGAATTCGTTGTTCATAATCTTCAAACAAATATCACAAGGTTAAATTTAAGCATGTTCCATTGACATGTTTTGTTTGGCCTTATGTTTCAAAATTTTAAAATTGTTAAAAAAGAAACTTTTGCCAATCTGGAGATTTAACATTAAAATCCATAGTCCCAACTTTTCTTGAAAAAAATCTACGGATTTGCTAACATAAGAGCTATCTCCTCCATTACAAGAATTATCTGAATGTGAATGACAGCTGCAACATATAGTCAAGAAAAACAAAGCTTGCCAGAGTTCTGACTACTGTCTGTGGTTTAGACTTATCCCACTTACATGATTTCCATAACAGTTCTGGCACACACAGCCCTTTTCTTGTATTTTTCATCTCTTCTTCTCTTCGCTACCTTTGGAAACAAAGAACTGAATCCAATTTCTAAGAACATGATACTAGTAGCAAGAAATATTTCTGTGCACATGAGTGTATATATCCTTTTATCTAGCAATAATAAATATGTAATCAACTTTTATTTTATGCTATATTGTTAGAAATACCAGAATTAAATTTAGTGGGGTTTTTTTTTGAAGCACACTTCCCATTGAAATAATTGCAACATCTCTCTAAAATAGGAGTTAGTTTTGAGTTTCATCTGAGTCACAAATTGTGTAATCTTAGCCTAGTAACTTTATGCCTGCTTTCTTATTTGCAAAATGGAGATAATTTTAATTTCCATCATTTCATAACACTGTTTTAAGTATCAAATATATTCAAAGTGGAACTATCTCACAATCACGAGATAGTGGGCTGAAGTTAGGTATAAATTTGATGACCATCAATTCTCAGGATGTCTATCACCCTTCTTGTCATATCTTCTTTTTTCTCCAATACATTTTTTAAAAATTGGGACTTAACTCACATACCATAAAACAAACACTTTTAAAGTGCATAATTCAGTAGTTTTTGGTATATTGAAAATGTTGCAAAACTAACAGTAGTAACTAATTCTAGAATATTTTCATCTGCACCAAAACAAACTTGTATCTATTAGAAGACGCATCCTATACCCCTTACTCCAGGCCCTGGAAATGGCTAATCAATTTTCCGTCTTGATATACTTTCCAGTTTTTGAAATATTATATAAATAAAATCATACAACATGTGATCTTCTGTGACTGGCTTGTAAACCTTGTAGCATGTTTACAAGGTTTTCATGGCTTAGCATGTATTAGTATTTAATTTCTTGTATTTTACCTGAATAATATTTCATTGCATGGATATCTTATATTTTTTCATGCATTTACCAAAGTATAGACAAAAATTGCTTTCCTCTTTTTGGCTATTACGAATAATGCTATGAATATTCATGTACAAGCATCCGTTTTGTCACATCTTTTCATTACACTTATATGCCAGGAATGAGAATATTGGTCACTCTATGTTTAATTTTTTCGAGGAACTACCAAATTGTTTTCCAAAGTGCTTGCCTCATTTTATGTTCCCATAAACAATGTGTGAGAGTTTCAATTTCTCCAGTTCTTTGCCAACACTTCTTATTGCCTACGTTTTGATCAAAGCCATCATAGCGAAACAGCAGAGATCCCTTATCTCCCTCACAGGGCATGTGACAGAGGTGTGGCTCACATCTTCTTTGCCCTGCTACTCAAACCTCTAGTGGGAGCATGCAGACAGGCAGGTACAGAGGTCGTGGGGAGCGCTTTTAGGTTCTGAGCCCATGGCAGCATCTAAGGGGGAGGGTTTATGACTCCCAAAGCCCAAGTGGGTGTGTTTTACAGTGTGCTCTTTCAGCTTTGTCATCTGCAGACACCTTGTATTAGTCAGCTCAATTAGATTCTCTGCCTTATTGTAAGGGCAGAGGGCTTTCTGTATCTTGAGTTCTTGCCCAGTGAACCGGAAAAATAGGATCACATGTGGGCTTAAAGGGTGAGTGCAAGGTTTTATTGAGTGGTGGAGGTGGCTCTCAGGGAGATGGATGGGGAGCTGGAAGGGAGATGGAGTGGGAAGGTGGTCTTCCCCTGGAGTCAGGCCTCCCAGTGGCCCAACTCTCCCCCAACCACTCCCAGCCAAACTCCCCTTGGTGTCTGCATCATTCCTCCATTGCTGGTCTGCCAGTGTCTGCTGGTGTGCCTCTCTGCTCCTCTCAGTGTCCAGCCACTTGTGTCTATGCCCGCTTAAGGTCTTAGGTTTATATGGGCACAGGATGGGGAGTGTCGTAGGCCAAAAAGCAATTTTTTGGGCACAGAAACAGACATGCCTGTTCTCATTTAGGTTCATGTGCACAGGCCTGAGGGTGGAGCCCTCACCAGGGATCTGCCCATCTCTACCCAGCACTTTTTTGCCCTACTCCCATATCATCTTCCCCCTCTGAAGAGACACATCTAACTGCCTTTAGAATATGGATGACGACCAGTCTTAGCTACTTCCTGCTGACAGGGGGTGTTGTTTTGGGGAAAACAGCATTCAGATTCCTTCCTGAGGTCTATTTAAGGGTTCCTGGCAAAGGGGAGCCATCATCTGAAGCTCCAGTGGCCTGACTGTTTGGAGTTTGATGCCTCTGAGAGAGAAAAAAATAAGTTTTATAAAGGTTAAATATGCATGGATTAAACACATGTATTATACAAGGAAAGAATTTAGGGCCAAAGATTACAGAGATAAGAAGGGAAATATACTAACAACCCAATGTGGTATGAACCCATGAAGCAGGGAAGACCTAGAGAATAGGAATTAACTGCCCACATCTATGCCTCCTTCTTCCCCTGCTGTTGACAACCTTTGAGTTCCCTGGGCCTCATTTATACCATGGAGTATGGCCTGCTTCCATGGGGTAGGGGTTCAGTCGGCAGGAATTGTTCCTGCCTATTTACATTGTGCCTGTCACCTGGCTTTAGATCCCTCAGATCTGGTTTTCCTTTCTAGGGCCTCAGCCTGAAGCTTGGAATCAAGTTTGGGACTCAAGGGGCTGCATGTATCTGTTTAGAGTGTCTCAAATGAGTCCTGCTAAATTTGCAGTTATCAGCCAGCAGGGGTCATTCCTCTGCTAACTTCCCTAGCAGAAGGAGCGTGCTGGAGAGGCGAACCCTCTCACTCAGAAAAGCAACAAATAAAAAAATTTAAAAAACCAGTTTAAGGGGCCAAAGGGGGAGCTCCTGCGGGAAGAATCCCTTGCTCAGTGCAGGTGGGTCCCTTTAATCCTTGTATCCTTTTCCCACTTCAGGCTAGGTTGAATTCTTTGGCCAGGGGAGAAAAAGTTCTGTTGGTATGGTGGGTGGGGAGTACCAGCCAATTGGCCCTGCAGGGTCCCTGTGGTAGCCACAGTTTTCTCCCACCCCTTGTGGCCACCGGGCATGGGCTTTGCATGCTGTGAACGTGCCCAGGTGCCTGAGCTAGTAGGGGAGAGGGTAGGAAGAGGAGGTGCTGTGAGCTGTGCACGCCTGCAGCTGTCACGGTGGAGGCAGGAATGGTACCTCTAAGAACGATTGCTCTGATTTGCACCTTTGATGGCTGAACCAAATGCTCATTTTACTTGGCTACATTGCTGCAGCATGTAGCAAAACTCTTAACATTATAAAGGAAGAGATAAGAGCCATTTCAAATCATGAGAGAAGAAAAGACACCAAACAAAGTCTGGGGGTTTTGACCGGTGCCCATTAGGGTAGTTAAACCTCTGTGAAGGGAACAGAGCCATTTACCTGCAGGAAATAGAAAGAGGTGGCAGGGTCTTGGAAGAAGCAGATCCAACAGTTTCATATTTGCACTTAGCTTCTGATGAGAGTATCCCGGATGAGCCCCAGCTGAAACAAGAAAGTTACCTTTTCCCCGTCACAGGGAATGTGACAGGGGTGTGGCTCACTTCTTCGGTGCCTTGCTGCTCAAACCCCTAGGGGGAGCATGCAGATGGGCACATGCACAGGTTGTGGGGAGCACTTTTGAGCTCTGACCCCACAGTAGTGTCTAGGGGGTGAGTGTTTATGACTCCTGAAGCCCAAGTGGGCATGTGTTACGGTTTTTTTTTACAGTGCTGTTTCGGCTTTGCCATCTGCATACAGCTTGTGTTAGTCAGCTCTATTAGACCCTCTACTTTATCGCAAGGGCAGAGAGCTTTCTATATCCTGAGTTCTTGCCCAGTGCACCAAAAAAATCGGATTACACATGGGCTTGGAGGGTGAGTGCAAGGTTTTATTAAGTGGTAGAAGTGGCTCTCAGGGAGACAGATGTGGAGCCAGAAAGGGTATGGAGTGGGAAGGTGGTCTTCCCCTGGAAATGGGCCGCCCAGTGGCTGGCCTCTCCTCTGACTGCCCCTGGCTGACCAACCCTCAGCGTCTGCATTGTTCCACCGTCGCTGGTCAGCCAGCACCTGCTGGTGTCTGCCGGTGTGTCCCTCTGCTCTTCTCGATGTCCAGCCACTTGCGTCTGTGCCCGCTTAAGGTCTCAGGTTTATATGGTCACCAGATGGGGGGCGTGGCAGGCCAAAAGACAACTTTTTGGGCATGAAACAGAAATGCCTATCCTCATTTCGGTTCATGGGCACAGGCCCAAGGGTGGAGCCTTTGCCAGGGACCCATGCCTTTCTCTACCCAGCACTTCCCTGCCCCCCTCCTGTATCATTAGCAAGTGTGAAGTGGTATTTCATTATGGTATTGATTTGCATTCTATTAATGACTAAAGATTATAAGCATTTCTTTATATGCTTATCAGTATTTTGTACACGTACTTTGAATAAATATCTAGGGAAATCTCTGGTCCACTTTTAATTAGAATATGTCTTTTTACTGTCAAGCTGGAACAATTATTTCTATATTCTGGATATGTTTCTTATTAGATATATTATGTGAAAACATTTTCTCCAATTCTTTTGGTAGCCTTTTAATTTTTTTCTTTTATTACATTTAAAATTTTTTTGTGTGTCTCTCCCTATAAGGATAATCTTTTAACTTTCTTGATCATAATCTTTGAAGCATAAAAACAAATTTAGATAAAGTTTAATATTTTGTTGTTTTATTGTGTGTGCTTTTGGTATCATAGCTAAGAAACAGTTGTATAATCCAAGATCGTGAAGATTTACATTTATGCTTTCTTTTAAGAGTGTTATAATTTTAGCTAATAAGTATAGTGTTACCTGCATTTTTTCCTAGATGTCTTTTATCAAGTTTGGAAAACTTCTTTATTTTCTACTGTGTATGTGCTTTTTAAATTTTTTAAATGTTAGATTTTCTTCTGCATCTTTTGAAATTTTTATGTATTACTGTCTTTTATTATAATAATATGCTATAGGTTGACATTTATATATTAAACCAACCATGCCTTTTTGGGACAAAACCCATTTGATTATGATTTTTAATTATTTTTACATGTTCTTGAATTCAATTTGCAAGCATATTGTTGAATATTTTTATTTCCACATTCATAATAATATTTGGCTGTAGTTTTAATTACTCTTCTGCTTTGGTTGTATGTGTGAGAAATATCTTTGACTAGTGCCGGGATCAGGGTAACACTGATCTCCCAGAATGAGTTATGAAGTGCTCCATCCTTTTTTTTTAAGACTTGTTAAAAATTAGTATTACTTCTTCTTTAAACACTTGTTAGTATTTACCAGAGAAGCCATCTAGTATTGCACCCCTTTTTGTGGGAAGTTTATGATTGCTAATCCAATCAGTTTAATTGTCATGGGTCTATTCATATTTTTAAATTATTTGAGTCCGTTTGGATAATTTGTAGATTTCTAGGAATGTGTCCATTACACATTCTATTACCTATTTGTTGACATGCAGTTGTTCTTATTATACTCTATGGTCTTTTTTATTTCTGTAAAGTTGTGGTAAAGTACCCTTCTTCATTCTTGATTTTAATAGTTTCAGGTATCTCTTTTTTTATTGATTTGGTAAAGTTTTGTCAAATGTGTTAATCTTCCAAACAATTGACAGTTTCTTTAATTTTTTATTGTTTTCTGTTCTCTATTCTATTACTTATCACTCATGTTTATTATTTCCTGTCTTCTACATGATTTCGGTGTAGAACGCTATTTTTTTGGTTAAGATAAGACGTTAGGTTATTCATTTGACATCTTTCTTGTTTTATAATGTAGGTATTTACAACTATAAATTTCTCTCTGAATACTTCTTTCATTTTATCCCATAGGTTTTAGTCGTTTGTGCTTTCTTATTTATTCATCTTAAGGTATTTTGGAATTTCCTTTTGATTTCTTAGTTGTTTCGTTGCTTATTTCGAATTGTGTTGTTTTATTTCCACATATATATAAATTTCCCAAATTTCCTTCCACTATTAATATCAAATTTAATTCTTTTGTGTGTACAAAGAACATACCTTGTACAACTTTTCTATTGTACATTTATTGAGACTTGTTTTATTGCTTAACATATGGTTTATCTGGAAAAATTTTCTTGTGCTCTTGAGATGTATATGTAAACTTCAGTAGTTCAATGAAATGTTCCAGATATTTGTTGGGTATAGTTGCTGTATAATATGTTTAAGTTTTTTATTTACTTGTTAGTCATCTATAAATTTATTCTATCCATTATGGAAACTGAAATATTTACATTTTCAGGTATAATTTTATTTTATTTCTTTCTTCAATTCTATTAATTTTCATTTCATGTATTTTGGGGGGTCTGTTTTCTATAATTTTTATATCTTCTTGATGTATTGACACTTTTTTCAGACAAATTGTCCTGATTTGTCTTGTAAAACAAATACTATCTTAAATTATAGTTTGTATGGCATTAGTATAGCCACAACAGTTTTCAATTATTGTTTTAATGATATATGGTGAGCATCTTTTTACTTTCAGCCTACCTACACATATTTAAATGGAAAAAATGTCTTTTGTGGGTAGCATATAGTGGCATCATTTAAAAAAATCTAGTCTACTAATCTATGTCTTTTAATTGAAGTGCTTAATCTATTTATATTTAATATAGCAACTGATATTAGGATTTATGTCTGCTATTTTGCTGTTTGTCTTTCATATATCTGATTTTTTTCTTCTTCTCTTCTTCCATGGTTGCATTATTCTATGTTAATTAGATAATTTCTATTGTTCTAAATTAATTTTGTCTTTTTAATTTTTTTAGTATAGCTATTGAATGTGTGTGTGTGTGTGTGTGTGTGTGTGTGTGGTGTTATCTTAGGGATTACAATTAACCACATTAATTTATAACAATATAGTTTGCATTATTACAAACTTAGATTTAATAGTATACAAAACTTTGCTCCTATATAGCTCCATTGCCGCTCCCCTCCTTTGTCCTGTTACTGTCATGTGAATTATGTCTTTATTGTGTGGCCATCAACATAGATGTATAATTATTTGTCTGTTTAATCAGATAGATAAAAATGCAAACAAATATATTTGTACATAGTCTTTTATGTAATTATCTCTATCACTATTCTTTATTTCTTGATTTGGATTCAAGTAGCTGACTAGTATTCTGTCATTTCGGCCTGAATGATACCTTTAGTATTTCTTGTAAGGCATATCTGAATGATGACTTCTTTGTTTTTATTTATGTAGAAGTGACTCAATTTTTCCTTCATTCTGAAGTATAATTTTTCTGATTATAGAATTCTTCATGTGTAGTCATTTTTTTTTTTGCAGCGTTTTTAAGATGCCATTTTATTGCCCTTTGCTCTCTGTGGTTTTTAGAAGACATATTGGCTGCAAATTCTATTGAGAGTCCGTTGTATGTGATAAGTTGTTTCTCCCAGCTGCTTGCAGGATTTCTGTTTATCAGTGTCTTTTAACAGTTTGTTATAATGTTTCTGGGTGAGATCTATTTGATGGCATCCAATCAAATTTCATTGAGCTTCTTTGATGAATAGATTAACGTTTTCAGCAGTTGTTTTTCTCAAATATTTTTTTCTGTCTCTTTATCTCTTCATTTTTTCTGTGTCTTCCTTTATGCATATGTCAGTACACTTGATGGTGGCTCTCGGGTTTTTGAGGCTCAGTTTATCTTATGTTTATATTATTTTTACCTTTCCTCCTTCAGGCTGGATAACATAATTGTTATACTTTCAAGTTTTCTGATTCATTCTTCTTCTTGCCTAAATCTGCTGCTGAGCCACACTAGTACATTTGTAATTTTATTTACTGAATTTTTCACTCCAGAAATTAATTTTTCTCTTTTTAAAAGCACTTTAATCTCTATAGTCTTTCTGGGTAACAAACACATTGTTCTTATGCTTTCCTTTAGTTCTTGAGAAATGATTTTCATTTGTTCTTTGAATATTTTTAATAGTTGATTTTAAGCCTTTCTTTAATAAGTCCACTGAGTTTTCTCAGTGACAGTGTATAATTACTGCTTTTTCCCTTGTGTCGAACATACTTTGTTTATTTGAATGTTTTGCTTGTAGTTGAAAATTGGACATTCTAAATAATATAGTGTGGTAACTCTAGAAATCATATTCTCTTCCCTTCCCAAGTTATGTTGTTGTTTCTGGTTTTTTTGTTGTATTCGCTTGCTTAGTGAGTTCCGGAATTCTCTAATGTTTGTATTCTGTCTTGGCACTGACGTCTACTTTGTTGGCCTAGTGGTCAGCTAATAAATGGATAGTAATTTCCTTAAATGCCTGGAAGAAAAATACATCTCTTTGTCTTTACCGAGTGGCTCTGTGTTCATGTTGAAGCATACTGTGAGCAATCAGCAATGAAGCTTGGCCTTTCCTTTCTATTTGTGCAGAGTCTCTAGGAGCCAGATGTGAGAGATCAGGGCATTCTCACTTATTTTCTGAACAGATGCATCATTATGGGCATGTATAAATCCCTATATATGCATGTGGCCTTATAGATAACCAGCAATAAGTAGCTGCTCATTAAAGCCCATATAAACTTGTCATGACCAAGCTTTCACTTTTAAGCTTTTAGATTAGCCTATTGTTTGCCCAAACTTTTATTTATAACCTCAGGTCATGCCGAATGATATTTTAAAAATTGCCACTAATTATTTTCAACCAATGTGCCTACAGAAAAGGCTGTTAGTACTGGGCAAGCTCCAAGTCAGGTCAAATAAAGACCTGAGTCAGGAAACCCTGAAAGTGTGCGCTTCCAGGGAGCCACCAGATAAGTCAAACAAGGACAATTCTCTGGAAATGGTGCTTTGAAGAATCTCCAACATCATTATACCCTTTCATTGGTTTCCAAGCTTTTGGTTTTCAACATGATTGCAGGATGTTGATTTTCAAGGCTATCATTGAAACTGTCCCTATAAACTATAAAATTAATTAGGGGGTCAGGTGTGGTGGCTCATGTCTGTTATTTCAGCACTTTGGGAGGCCAAGGAGGATGAACTCCTGAGCTCAGGAGTTCAATACCAGCCTGGGCAATGTGGCAAAAGCCTGTCTCTACAAATAAAATTAGCCAGGTGTGGTGATGCACACCTCTTGTCCCAGGTACTCAGGAGGCTGAAGTGAGAGAATCACCTGAGCCCAGGAAGTTGAGGCTGCAGTGAGCCATGATTGTACCACTGCACTCCAGCCTGGGTGACAGACTAAGACCAACCCTGTCTCAAAAATAATAATAATAATAATCAGGGAAGAAGAGAGGGAGAGAGACAAAAATAGAGCAAGGTTGCAGCACATTCAGCATTAATCATTAGGTCGGCTTTCCCTCTGATCTGCTTCCTCATAGTTGTTTGGTGCCTGTTGTCCTAGTATCACATGGACCCTAAATTATAATTTTCCTTAACTGTTCTATAAATAACAACTTGAATATTACAAAACATAAAGTTTCCTCTTTGTGATATTCTTTCAGGTCCTGCATACTGAAGAAACTACTAACTCAAGCTGATCTTAAGGTCCCCACTGACAGCAACTGATCTGAAGGACTCCATGAGGAGGTGACTAACCAAAGAATACAGTTTCTATATTCCGAAGATTTCATCCTCCTTACCACAACCAATCAACAATCTCAATTTTCTAGTCCTCCACCCTCCGTGATCTTAAAAATCTCAGCACAGAGCTCCTCAGGAGATGGATTTGAGAGTCTTGTCCCATTTTCTCACTTGGCACCCTGTAATCATTACTCTTTCTCTGCTGCATCCCTGCTGTCTCAGTGTAATTGGTCTGTTACTGCACAGCAGGCTTACAAACCTGTTGGTCCTATAACATCTTGGAACCGGAGATAGAACAAATTAAGTTATTACAAAACTCACTGTTCTTGCAGAGATTCAGACATTTTCTTTGAATAAATCATCTCTGAATTATTTCAAGTCTTTTGTATTCTCAGTGGTTCATAGAAAAATGATTCCAACAATCATCCAGGGTTCTCACAGCATTTTAAGGAGAGAGAATTTTTGAAGATTTCACCATATCCACTGATATCACCACACCAAGTATTTTTTTACTTTGTTTGTTTGTTTGTTTACAGACAGGGTCTTATTCTGTTGCCCAGGCTGAAATCAAACTCCTGGGCTCAAGCGATCCTTCCACCTCAGTCCTCTGAGTAACTGAGACTACGGGTGTGTGCCACGTTTTTTAACTTTTCAACTATCTTTTATATATTATGAGCTGAGTGAAATAATTGTCATTTAATAATATATACCATATAATATCAAAAGTATATTATAAAATATATACACATTTTTAGTTTATATATTTATAAAATTTAAATATTTATAAAGTTGATATCTAGATTAAAAAATATATAAAATATATATTTTATATATACATATATACACCTATAATATATACATATTATATATACATATGCATATGTATATATGTATATACATATATATGTATGTATACATATATTATATATAATGTATATACATATATATGTATGTATACATATATTTTATATAATGTATATACATACATATGTATGTATACATATATTATATATAATGTATACATACATATAATATGATGTATACATACAATATGATGTATACATACAATATAATGTATACATCATATAATATGATGTATACATACAATATAATGTATACATAGGTATATATGTATGTATACATATATGTATATATACATATTTATATATGTATATATAATATATACATATTTATATATGTATATATAATATATACACATATATTTCATATGCATAAACTTACCTCTGAAGTAGTACTATTTTTATCTCCTGTACCATATAATATTAGAGTATTGTAATTTAATTTCTGAAAGTATTATTATAGAATTGTGCTTTTTCTCTTTATTGATCAGCATTTGACTTACATACATAGTTTTCATCATTTCACTTTTTAGTTTTTCTGCAATTGGAAAATATCTTTTGTAAACAATGTAGCTGAATTTCTAAAATCTTTCAGACAATATGCTTTTTAAATAGATATTTTGTAAGAAAAGAGTTTTTAAGTTGTATGTAAATATTTTATTTTTCTTTGTATTTATTTGAAATTCAATAATAATAAAAACAATGCAAGTATTTAAAAGTATCAAATGAACTACAACAGAAACTATAATCATGTACAAATTCTGTTAAATCCAAATTAATCAGCCAATTTCTCATTCCAAGGAATATAGGTGTAGCATTTTTGCTTTCTTTTTCTACTTCCTTATTTGTCAGTCCAACTCCAACAACAATGATTGTTCTTTTTCTTTTCCAGTATCTCTTAAATCTTTGTTTTTCATTCACTGCCACTAGCCACCAGATTTTACAATAATAACAATAATGGCTCCTTAATTTGCATATCTGCATCTCATTTTTACCAGTTTTCCACATTATTCTATTTATTGCAAACAGCCTGGTCAGAGGTGTTTGGGTTGTGGGGTGGATTCCTCATGGCTTGGTGCTATCCTTGCAATAGTGAGCAAAGGTAAGTTCTCACGAGATCTGGTTAAGTGTGTGGCACCCCCACCTGGCTCCCACTCTACCATGTGACATGCCTGCTCTTGTTTCCACTTCCACCATGAATAAAGGCTCCTTGAGGCCTCCACAGAAGCTGAGGAGATGCCAGCACAATGCTTCCTGTCCAGCCTGCAGAACTGTGAGCAAATTAAATCTCTTTTCCTTATAAATTACCCAGTTTCCAGGATTTCTTATAGCAATGCAAGCATGGCCTAATACAATTCTTCTCACCAAAGTATTTTGTGACCTCTCTACTTTAATTTTTGTTCTCTAGCAAAATTGGTCATTGTTCAGTCGCTTAAACCCTTCAATAGCATACCTGTTACTTGCATTTGGATGTATTATTTCCACTAACTTGAGCTCTCTTCTGGAGGCTCTTCACAAAACTGGCTTATTACCTTCCTGGAGCTCTCTGCTTGTATATCATCCCCACAGTGTGCTCTTTCCTGAGTAAATACATCTCACTATTCACATCAGTGTTATATTCTCCATTAGAGCAGCACTGTGCTTGTTTGTTTCCTTAAGAACCTTTGTTTTTTTATAATCATGTACTTTTTCACAGCATCACACAGACATAAACTATGAAACTATGTTTCATTCCAAGTAGTCCCCTGTATGTGGCATTGTACACAGACTCGTCACTCAAATGCATTACTCAGGTGAATTATTCTTTCAGAGTTGAATGTAATTTGCTTTCCGATAATCCTTTTAGTAAAATAAAAGAGTATTTTATTGTTTGTGGAAAATAAGATTTAAGTTCGAAACAAACTTATTTATAAGCTGTTTGCCCTTGGCTAGTTTAGTAAAGACCTCAGGGACTCAATTTTTCTTTATAAAGCGTAGCTAATTATTTACATATTTTTATTATTAGAATAAATTATACAAAATGTTATTCATGCTCAAGTATTTACATAAAATTTTATTATTGATATTGAATTATGCACTGAGATTATTATGGACAAGGACTGCTCCCAGGGGTGGAAGTTAAAAAGAAGATGAATGAAGAGTGTCAGTTTAAAATTTTAATAAATAAATGTGGTACAAATTGAGCTCTGAACTTATGTAGATAAGATCTGCAAAATGCCAAAATTACAAAATAAAGCACATATTGAGTGTGTATCTTTCATCCTCTTCCTGCCAGTATTTGTCAGGAAATTCTCACTAAACACTTCATTTCTGACTTCCCACTTACAATGAATAATATTTCCTTTTCTTAGTAAACTCATTATTGAACTGAATCAGCCAACTTACTCTCCATCTTGAGAGCTCTTGTTTAACTCTCCCTTTTTTTTTTTACTTCACAATGCTAACCACCAAATTGATAGATGCATTCTCAAGATGTTATTTTAGAGATAAATTGCTCTTTTAAACTGTGTCTTTGTTTCATATTCTCTTCAAAGTGATGAACAGATTTTCTGAAAGTTCTAATTTATATTTCTATTTTTAGACTGAGGTAGAATTATAAATAGAAATGAAAATATTACTATAATACAATTACTTATTAATACAGTTAAACCTTAATAAACTAACATATTATAATAGCATCCCATGGCTGGTGTAGGAGCCAATGCAACACAACTATTAAATTAAAAAGGGATACAGAGATAATTATTTCTAGGTATAAAACTTGGCTCTTTGCTCGCTCTGTCTGGATAGCTTTAAACACATTGTTTAATAAGAATTATGAATGTTCTTTGATTTTACCTTACTTTTGAATGAACAAGTTAGCTTGCTACTGTTCCATGAATGCTGGCAGAAGACACAACATTCCTGATCAAAGAAAAAGGACTTTGTGTTGGTAAGCAGTGTGAGCCTTATGACTGCACCAGTGCTCCATGCCTCTCAGCCCCATGGTGGAGACACAGGTGGGCCTAGTGCATGTATCACACCTAGTGGGTTTATATCTGAGCCAAGAAAGGCAAACCTTTGAAAGCCCCAATCTTTTTCAATGATGTTCAGTCAAACTTGCCTAACCTTTCCCCAGAGGGAGACATTATATTTATTATACTGGACAGGTAACAGACCTGACCTCTGCTCTGGTGGCAGATGCTGTCTCTAGCTCCCAAGGCCATTTGCTATATCCTTAGAAAATATAGTCTGTCAGTACCTCTGCTCAAAGCTATGGAAAAGAGTGAGAGTCCTATGGAGAATTTTCTCCCAACATTGTTTACCTTCTCGTAAGACCTGTCTCATTTATTTAGTAGGAATAGTAAAAATACCCAATTCCTAGAATTGTTAAGATAATTAAATTTTATATTGAATAAAGTATGGTTCCTGACATGTAGAACTCAACTAATATTAAGTAGTAGTAGTCACAGAGTGTGAATAGCAGAGTAGCCACAAAATCTTTTTTTTTAATGAGATTATGTCTTGGCTCTGTGTGTGTAAAACAATAAAATATAAAATCTGGTAAACCAAACCTATAAATTAAAATGACTCATCAAAATTGTTTTTCTATCTCTACCTGAAAATGTACATTAAATAAATCTGATGACATGCCATATTTTCTAGGACTGCAGGTAAGAATTTGCTCTTTGATCACTATATAAACAAAAAGCTACACTTGTTAATGAATGTAAGTACACAGTTTTGCAGATTTTGTGTGTTCCCAAGGAATGGTAAAGAATTACCTCAGCCCAAATGTTCATAGGCATTATTCCTGGGCTTTAGTTTCAATTCTCTTTCATTTGGCTTCAGTTCTCCTTCTCTTTTCATTATCTTTCATTATTTCATTTCCCTTTGGATTTGGTACACTTTATGGTAAGAAACCTACCTTTAACATTTGTTTATAGTCAAGATGCTTTCAGTTGCAGATGGCAGGAACTCAGCTCTCACTAAGAAAATGTGTCTGTTATCAGTCCTCATCTCCCAAAGTCCTGAGAATGAACATGTCACTGAGGACAGACCAACCGCTGTAATCCATTTTTCTGACCACAGATATTACTTCAGCAATTGTTTCTTATTATTCAGTAAGCAGAAATGCACTTCATCTTTTCCCCAAAGTAGGCTACCCAAAATCACATCCAGGAACTGTATTGTAAAATACTCTCATTGAACCACTTGTCCATGGGCCAGAATCTCTGGTCACACTCACACCTACTCTTTTTATTAATAATATTTTCAATACAAACATGTAACAATATATTTAACCATAAGAAAGCAAAAGTACATTTGGCAAGTAAAATTGTTGGCTCATCTCTCTTAAGTTTTCCAAGAAAAAATCTGCTCTCAGGTAGAGCTGTTTCCAGGGGCTTGACCACGATAATCAGAGGCCTCTGTCCATCTGTCAGCTCTGTGTGGTTTGGCATGACTTCAGTCTGCAAGTATAAACTCTCCATAAGATAGGTAAGAGAGCTCTAACAGAGGCAAAAATGCAGAATATCACATCTCTTTGTCATTTGTCACTCATATATATCCTACAGCCCATATGTTAAACATTAAGTATATGGTACTCACTGT
Source organism: Homo sapiens (assembly GCF_000001405.40). Classification (NCBI taxonomy): domain Eukaryota; kingdom Metazoa; phylum Chordata; class Mammalia; order Primates; family Hominidae; genus Homo; species Homo sapiens. The sequence continues at coordinate 97,622,474 of NC_000011.10, forward strand.
ATGCTATGCTATGTAGAATAGAAAAAATACCTTGTCAAATCCACAAGAGAATTAAACTAAGTTATTCCCAAGATATCTTATTCTAAAGTGATATCATGATAACAAGATGAATTTAAGATATATCTTTAATTTTGTGGTGATCTCCTTTCAATATTCAGCAATCTCTTGTCAAAATGAAAAATTTAATGATCTACATTCAATATGTAATGGTAGAAGATCAGGAGGGAAGATGAGTAACATAAGGCATTTACAATTTTTAACATAAATCATATTCTTTGGGCCAGGTTCAATACGTATTTCCTCCCCAGATAGTGAAGGTCCTCCTATTATGTTACTCACTATAGATAACTGAGGTCCTGTCTTCTTGGTTATGGTCCTCAGTATACCGATTTGAGATAAGTGAAGGGGCAGAGTTCTCTTCAGAGAGCTATTCAGACTCTTCTATCTAATTGCCTAAATGTCCTATTATGGGTATTTAGAGGATGCTTTCAGGACAGCATTCATAATGACTCATTAACAAGTCTTACTCTGGTCATGTATTTCCTAACAACCACAGAAAGACTCTGGCCAGTTTTGGTTTTGCCTATGTCAGAGGTTGTAATGGAATTGAGAGACTGAATAAAGTCACAAAACTTGAATTTGGACACTGGTGATACGATTTATCATCCTTTAGAAACAACTCTTCAAGTGCTGCACATGTTCAAAGCCTCTCAGTCTAATAGATTCTGTCTGACTGTGGGATAAAGCAGGAACACGGACATAGTATTTTCTCAACTTTAATAAAGTAATTCAGTTTGGGAATTAGATTTATAGCAATTATTTTGTTAATCTCAGGTACCAGTCTTATATACTTCTGTTTACCATCATCACTCTGAATTCTGCTTAAAATACAGATTTTCAGGTCTGTGATTATCTAATTATCTTTAAAAATAAATTTCAGCAATTTTAGTTTTTAATTATAAGCCATAACGTGTCATTTTGCAAAAACTCCATTACATTTCCTCCTTCTCTTCTTTAGAATGGGCGAGTGTAAAAGAAGCCTGAAACTGCTTTGGAACATCTAACTGAAGGTGAAAAAGAGATAGCCAAGAGTTCAGGACAAATTTATTAACAAGACATCGAAATCTTCATATTCTGTGAATGTGTAGTCCAAATTATGATAATAATGTTTCAGAAATAGGAACTGCAAACCCTAACTCATTCTGTAACTTACGATTCATCATTTGTAACTCCCCACTTCTAAGTAGCACTGTTTATGATGGACAGAATTGAGTGCCAGTTAGAAGATATTAATCAAACTAACTTAAACAAAAGACAATGCATTTTGATGCAATTAAAGTCAAACCTAAGTGTAGAATACCTTTAGGCAAAGCGTTTCAAATTGTTATCACATTGTTTCTCTCTCTCTCTCTCTCTCACACACACACACAAACACACACACACACACACCACAACCTATATAACAAGGAAGGGGGGATCAAGTAATCGATAGTTCTAGTAAAACCCCATAGATTAGAAGAGGGGTAGATATTCACAGTGGTATGTTATCAGACAAAAGCAATATGTGTTAACTAGAGCTACTCTGCAAGATACTGCCTTAGATACTTAGCACGAGTTAGAGGGGTTAAAGGGGTGATTAGCCAATAGAAAAATAGGTATGACACGTTCTTTCTTGAAGGCATATAAAAGCTGATAATTTAGTTAGTAAAATAAGAGATATTCACAAATAACTATAATACAAAGTAAAATATAGTAAGGCTATTATAGAATATTTGTGGCAGCCTTTGAAGAGTAGTGGGTGGCTAATGTTGTTCCTGGTTCCTTCTGCTTCAAGGCTATTTCTGTAGTATCTTCTGTATTGATTTCCTCTTTTATACATTTTATTTCCTTTTGTGTATCTCTCACTGCTAGCTAGCCCTGTAATTCTTTTATTCTTTTATTCCTTGAAAGACCACAAACACAGGGAGGCAACATTTTACTGAAAAAATAGAGCAATCAATTTGCATATTTACAGTACAGGACAACACTTTGCACATTTAAAATGAAATATTGTCTTTTTAAAATCCTTTGTCCAGCTCCTACCACTGGTCTTTGAAATTCCATCATTTCTTCTATTATGAGATTGTGAAAATAGTTAAATACACCCCTTTTAATATTACTCTGTGTCAATCATAGTTTGGTCAGAGAGGCAGAGTTCTTACAATTGTTATAGGAATAAGAGATTTCTTATAGTTAATTAGACTTTACACAAATATAGAAGAATCTGGGGGAACTGAAGGAATGAAAGGAATGTTACAAAATCAGAAAAAGAGTGAATTACTAGCTCACAGGAAATAAACCGAGACCTTGCAGGGAAATTTTGACAAGCAAATATGTCAGATCACTGAAGTGAGAAATTGTGAAATGGGAGCTTGAGGAACTGTCTGTTGGGAACTGTTACCTCTATAAAGTTAAAACATGTGTGCTCCGCACAGAGACAAAAGTTGAGAAGATAAGCTCAATGAAGACAGAGAAAAGCGGATGAGCTGAGACCATTTGGATAAATCTGTGTCTCTCTAACTACATAACTTATCATTACAACCATTTGGTAATAGTGGCTGCTTCTTACTTTTACCATCACATTACACTCAAGTTCCTTTGTGGCCAACTCTACCCCAGAGGCTTAAATGGAAGGGGATTATGGGAATGTAGTTACCAGCTTCAAATATATGTTGACTAACACAATCAACTACTGTCTACCATTTCTGAATTTGTCATTCATACATGCCTCATTTGATAGTCTTATTTAACATCCAAATGAAGAAATAGAAAAAACATGTATTAACCTAATAAAACATTAGGTCAAATAAATAAATACATATCAACTTTCTCCCAAAGAGAATATATGATGACATATGTTACTTTAGCCATAATAGGGTAATGTTTATTTTTCCTCAAGCTGATTCAACCTGTCTTTGATATGTGGTAAATTAATACAGATAATATTAACATATGTCATGTAACAGCAGTGAGAAGGGAAAATAATATACACATGTATACAAATATATTAATATTAATAAATACAGGAAAGACATACAAATAGTACTGTTTTTATTTCCATAACTAGTCATATTTTCATTAACTGGTCATTCTGTTATGTGTAACAAATTACCACAAATTTCATGGCTTAGAAAACATCCATTTATTATCTCACGGTCTTATCATTGAGATACTAGGCTAGCATAACTGGGTTCTCCGTTCAAGGTCTCACAAGCTGAAATAATGATTGGAGCCAGCCTTCTCTCCCTTCTGATGCCTGGTGTCCTGTCCTAAGCTCATGTGGCTATTGGAAGTATTTGGTTTCATGTGGTTATATGACTGAGGTCTCTACTTTCTTGTCTCGTGGCTAAGGATCACTCTTAGCTCTTAGATTCCATCCACAGGTCTCATCACCTTGACCTTTTCACAATATTGCACCTTACTTCTTCAAAGTCAGAAGAGGAATCTCTCTCAAGGAAGACCCCAATCCCCCTTTTACAGGCTTTCTCTGATTGTCAGGTCTCTAGAATAACTCCCTTTAGATGAGCTCAAACACCTATAAAATTCAATCATCTTTGTATGTAATATAATCTAACTATGTCACTGAAATCCATCATATTCACAGTCTATCCCACACTCAAAGGGGACACCTGGGATTTGGACTACGAAACTATTTTAGAATTCTGCCAATCATATATGGTCATAGTTTGGATTCCTAACTTCTGTCTTCAGTTCGCAACTATTTTATACACACACATGCGTGCGTACACACACACACACACACACACACACACATAGATATAGATATAGATATAGATGATATAGGTAGATATAGATAGATAGATATACATATAGATATAATCTCCCTTGCTAGTTGTGGCCTCTTTTCTGCTGGGGTGAACCAAACCTTCCTTATTGAAAGACCTAGTACATTTGTAGTTTTGCCTGCATTGGGTGGTGTAGTTTCAATTTAGCTTACACTGCAAGACATGAAAATGCTAAAAGGAACTGCAAAGGATTACTAGGATTCTAGACACTTAATGTGTTTCTCTGTTATGCAATAATAGTTCCCCCTTGATTTTCAAGATTAATTACCCCAAGCAGTAAAGTAGTCCCTTTCTTTTTATGTTAGTTTAATGGCATATAAAAGGATGCTTTTTGTGTTTTAGTAAAACAAAGTAAAAAGAACACTCTCGTACAGTCCATGGTTGCCATGCAAGCTGCTCCCCTACTTGAGCCACATGACTCAGCCGGTCTAATGTTGTCAAAGATAGCAATGCTCTGTGGAACTTTTGCCAGACTGAAGTAAATGACGAGCAGTGTAGACCTCTGAAATTCCTGAACAAGGTGATTCCACCCTTTGCAGCAAAGTATTCTCTTTAACAACAAATGTTGGCTTGCTACTGGGCCTTGGTAAGGACTAAGTGTTTGGCCATAGGTTGCAAAGTTTTGATGTAACATGAGCTGCTCATCATAAACTGGACATAATCTAGCTTCCCAGGCAATAAAGTTGGGTATACAAAGCATCATCCTGTCATCAAATGGAAACGATATATACAATATCTGGCTTCAGCAGGTCCTCAAGGTACACATAAGTTGCATGAGCAAGTGACTCCAATTCATATGTACACTTTTTCTGCAATATCCCTGCCTCTGTCTCAGTCCACATCTGTGGTCTCCTGAGGTTTTCGCTATGAACAGTTGATAGAGGAACAAAAAATTGGGTCTGGTTTACAGAGAATACTGAACAATATTCTGCCATTACCTGGAAGTGGACAGCAGTATCATTACAACTTTGCTCAGCGTTTGCATTACAGTCTTGAAAATGAATCATCCCAGTGGACAGAATTTAAAGCAGTGTCCACAGTCAAGGACTTGGAAGGAACACAATTGAAAACTGGCTCTGAGTAGTTCTTGGGAAAAGATGGATGGATAGCCTTCTTAGAATGACAACAAAGTGTGAATATATATATACACACACACACATATGTATATGTCTCCATATATATTTATGTATAAATTTATATTATATTTATGTTTATGTATATAAATGTCTCCATTTGTGTCTATCTCTATCTACATCTGATCATCTACCTATATCTATGTTTCCATCCCTTTAGCCTGAGAGGAATATTGTTTGGTTGTACATATAGAAGCAATGAAAGATAACGAAGAGTTTAAAGAGAACTAGCATCCCTTGTAAAGCAGCTGCCTCATGAATGCTCATTTTCCTTTCTGCAGGCAAGTGGAAATTTACCTACTCAAATAGGAAAGGGGAGCTGTTTCTAGAGCCAAAAAAATTTCAGGAAAAATTAAAAATTTAAAATTTTCATCTTTAGAGGAATCTGCCTATGTGCTCTTAACTCAGTTTTAAAATTCTATTCCTTCTCAATCATCGCCCTATGACATAAGAGAAAGTGAAATGCTGTGAATCTAATTTGCTTCATAATTAAGCTAGTGAAATGCATTCTTATATAACCTCAGAACTGTCAATCCCCAGGACTGGTGACTGTCCACTGTCATTCCCAGCCCTGTCCAAACCTCTGAGCCATGGTTAAAGCAAGAGAGCGGAAGTTAGGCCCCTGCTTGCTGTAACTGTATCAACACCAGGAAAACTGAAAATTCACCAGAATATAAGCTTTCAACATGCCAAACCCACATGGTATGGTTCCAGGCTTGAATGTATGACCAATATGCTATACTATTCCTCTTATAAATAAAAGAAAGGTAAAAAAATAAAAAAAAAGATTGATATTCTAAGTTTTAAAATATAAAATATTGAATGTTCATTATACGTGGTTCTCAATCTTGTTTGGGGAAAAACTATAGAAAAAAAACTTATCAAAATGCCTTAAGGCTTTTTCAAACTCTATACAAGTTCCTGAGGCTTTCATCCCTTTTACTCAGTCTTCCCCCAACCCCTAACACTCATACACAAAATAAATGCTATATATTTTCTAAAATTGAGTGTTTAATAAATTGACATTGTGGAAAATACAAGAAATATTTTAGTTCAGCATATATAGAATGGCCTAAGCAGAGAAGACACCTTGAAGTCAAAGATAATATGCAAAATTTCCTAAAATGTTTTTAAATTCACATATAGTGTTCAAATTAAAACACACAATCATTTTTCTGTATATTACTCATTTTGTGTACACATGTATGGTAATTCACAAATACCAGTTTTGCTTATATAAATAATCAAATTTCCATCTACTTTTGTGGTGTTTTCACATCTCAGACAAGCATATCTTGATATATGTGTGAAAGAAGCTAAAGTGCTTTTTAAATTTAGTACATCTTTGTGTATTTTGTGTATTATTTAAATAATTACCTTGAAATTAATTAATGCCTAAGACCTTTATGAAAAATAATAAAATTATGCATACAATTTGAAAAAGTCTCCAAAATTACTAAAACATGAATGATTCCAGTACCTGGTAAGAATATATATCAGTTTTTATATTGTTTCTAATTTTCTTTATCTGAAGAGATGACTAAAAAGGCACAGCGTAGTACTAACTGATGGAATGTTCCTGCACTGTAAGGATGACTACCTGCTAAAACCTGAATGGGAACCTCAGATTCTAATAAATAAATGCCAATAGAAACAATGCTTTGGATTGACTCAATGTGACAACATTATTGCATTGTACTTTTTTAAAACTTTAGATTTGATTAGAAGTGGAACATAAAGTGAGGTTTTAAATCATAAATACCAGTGAGACTAGAGGCAAACTACCAATTTTTCCCACTACATGTACTTAAAAGCTGGATATTTTCCCCTCGTGTTCCCAAACATTTGTAAGTGATTTTCCTGGTAAAATTATAACTATGAGAACTGTTTTTTTGTGTGAATGAGATGACAGAATAAATGATATTGTTTCCCAATTTTCGTCAGGCAAATTTATGAGATATATAATGTCAAAATAAATATTCACGGAAAAAAAGCAAGGTTTTACAAAAATGAATCCTAATCGTGTATTTTTTCTTCTGCAGTGAAGTTTTCCACACTACTCTAGAAAATGACTAACAGCTTTGCTTAGTGCTTTTTTCTCTATTTCATACAGGCCTTCTGAAATTTATCTATGCCATCAAATGAAAACAATAAAAGCAAAAGAATCACACAACTGTATAGATTATGGTTCCAACCTGATTTCAAGTTGAATACTCTACATAGAAAAATGTCAAATGGGTCTAGAGAAACCATATGGACAGCATTAATCAGGGACCTTTTCTTATTGACTGATTTTCATAGCCTTTCTTATTAGCAGACTCAAATTTTGTTGCATGCTGCATCCCTAGGGAATTTTTCTATTCTTTCTCATCTTCTGTTTTTGTAGGAAGATATTTTTAAACTTACACCTTTTCTTCTTAATTCCACTCCCATTAGCTGCTGCACACAGCTTGCTCAAATGCAAACATTTTCCTTTGTAAAAAGATATTTCACTTCCAGTCCTAAGTTAATGATTCATCCAAGTCAGGTCCTTTTTATGTATGAATGGTACTTAGTCTTGTGAATAATTAGAGAACATTTTAATGAGGAAACATAACAAGATGATAATAAATGGATTATTTATGTTCAAGTTTACAATTTCTTAAAATCTATGTTGACACAAGAATGGTATGTTTGAACGTTTTAAAAAAATAGAATTCAATACCGATCTGTTTCAAGGCATTGTGATGGGCAGAGCTAAGATGTTGGGATTAAATGCTGCATGCTAACAACTCAGTAAGTATCTTTTAGATGTGGGAACACATTTTATGCTCACAACAAAACTTTGTAGAAAGAATTATCATTGTAAGCTTATAGATAAGAAAATTGGCTCAGAAAGATTAAGAAATGTATTCATGATCTTAACAGATGCCAGTTATTGCATAGAAAATAAGGAGCTATAAATCTGTGTTATTGTTAGTATTTTCTAGTTGAAAACAATTAGCTTTAACACAAAGGACAAAATTAGGGAATACAGAAAATATTTTAGGCAAACCTCTGATTGAGAAACATCATATTCTACTTATGTTCTAACTCACTACAATAAAAATGTAAAGGGTTTTATTAGTTATGTTTCTCACCTAATCAAAAAGTGTGAACAAATAAATGCTTACAGAATAACAGCTATATGATCCTTCTAGCTGTGCCAGATATAATCTATGCCAAACAGCCAGCTAACTTTACCTTGCTAGGTTCGTCAGAGGCAAATAAGAAGTTACTACTTTCTGTCCCCTAAAAAGGTATTATAATACTACTTCAAAAGGGAGCCAAATATTTGCTATGACTTTTAGTCTAAAATCATATGTAGCTACAATTCAGGCTTTGTGACCATCGAGAACTTAATCTACTTAGACTTGAAACAGACCAAACTTGTCGGTTTCTTGCACCTTGTAGCCAGGTGTCCAAGTGAGTTATATCTTGGCTTTCTAAAGGAGAAGGAATAATATCTATGTTTCTATTTACTTCAAAAGCTATAGAGGAGACTTGAATTTCAAATGGAGAATATTCACAAACATTTAAGGTCACAAAATCATATGTCCTACAAGTTATTTTTAAGCTCTTTTCCTGTATATGTAATTTTTCTCTCTAGATCCATGGCCTAATTGTTGTCCTTTCTCAATAAGACTCACCTCTCTTCAGGAGTAAAAACATCTTGGGGTGAGAAATCAATCTTATTATTTATGGTTTTTTTTTATATTTTCTTTCCTTGTCTAATGACTCTCAAAGTAGTGATCCAATCAATATGAACAATTTCATTAAATATCTGAGCAAGTATTATGTGAATAATTCTTTGCTGAATATTATTGAAATAAAAAGATGAATGGCATAATTTTTTAAGTAATCTATAGTTTAGTAGAGTGTATAATTTTAAGATTTGTTTGTATGCAACAAGTATAGTAAGAGTCACAAAACAAAAGCTGCTCAAGTTAAAAAGTGCCTGCAATTGAGGTAATCGAGGAATGTGCTACTGAAGTGTTTGTGATGAGATTTGTAGAAAGGGTAGCATTTCTGCATGTGGAGACAATAAAGCAGATTTTAGAGTAAAGACAAAATGGGAACGAATATTGAGAAAACTGTTTCGTCTGACTGGTATTACAAAATAAGAATTGGCTAGCCTTTGCCCTTGATTCCTAGGGGAGGGTCTCTAAATATTAGGAATTTTCCAAGTAATTGAGGTGTCTGTGCCATTCATGGTGGTCCCCTCAGACCACACCTGAGTTTATGCTAACAAGGTTGCCCAGGATGGGAGCTAGTCATGCCAGAAAGACCGGTAAACTGATTAAAAGTTTGGGGATTTGAGCCACAGAATATCAGCCCAACCTCTGGGAGCTAAAGAACTGGAGACTGAGCCATGTGAGTGATGATTAATCAATCATGCCTATGTAATGAAACTCCGATAAAAACTCTGAACACCTTAGGCCAAAGCAACAGTGAGCTTTCCTCCTTAATAATACTCTACTTGTCTTAAAACTAAGCAATGTGCTTTAAGGGTAATGTGTCCAGACTACATGGAAGCTTTGCACTTTGGGAACCTCCCAGACCTCCCTTATGTGTCTTGTCTTTTGGGTGATCTTAATTTTTATCCTTTTCGGTATAATAAAACTCTAATCCTAAATATATTATTTTGCTGAGTTCTGTGAGTCATTAATCCAAAGGAGGTGGTGGGGACCTCCAAATTTGTAGTAGTTGGTCAGTACTCCAGGTGGCCTGGGGACATCCAAGATTGTGATACGTTTCTTTAATGGCGGCAGTCTTGTGAAGCACTGTGCCCTCAAGTTGTGAAACTTAGTCTATCTCTGAGCAGTTCATGTCAGAATTGCATTACGGTGGGAGAAAAGTTATTTCTATATGGTTTATGCTCTAATATGCTTTGAAATATGATTGCAATAGTCTTATGTATTCAACATTATTTTTATTTATTCACTAGATAATAGAAAACCACTGATGGTTTTAGAATAAGTTAATAATGTAAACAGGACCATGATTTAGGAATAATAACATCAGATGACATATAGACTGGAATGGATGAGAGATAGAAGATACTGAAGGTAAGGCCAGGTACAGAATTCTTACTATAGCCATATAAAAAAAAATGTATAAATCTGGCATTGAAAATAGAAAGGATAAATAATTTGTCCTTGATATTTACTTATTTACTTACTTATTTGTAGATATAAGGCCTCACCGCATTGGCCAGGCTGGTCTTGAACTCCTGGCCTCAAGCAATCCTCCCATCTTCACCTCCCAAATGCTAGGATTACAGACAAGAGCAACCACGTCTGGCCTGTCCTTGATAATTGATCAGACATGAAAGAAAAATGAGAAATCAAAGGAGATGAAGGATTTTGAAACACTGTTTAGATGAATTAAAATAGGAATAGAAAATTCTAGAACCAGAAAATCCAGTTTATGGATTGATGTAGGGCTTATTAACTTGATCTGCTTCTACAGTTATTTTTATTTTTATTTTTTTCTTTGATAGAGCTTTTATATTATATTTTAAGTTCTAGGGTACATGTCCACAACATGCAGGTTTGTTACATATGTATACATGTGCCATGTTCATGTGCTGCACCCATTAACTCACCATTTACATTAGGTATTTCTCCTAATGCTATCCCTCCCCCATACCCCCAGCTCATGACAGGCCCTGGTGTGTGATGTCCACCACCCTGTGTCCATGTGTTCTCATTGTTCAATTCCCACCTATGAGTGAGAACATGTGGTGTTGGGTTTTCTGTCCTTGTGATAGTTTGCCCAGAATGATGGTTTCCAGCTTCATCCATGTCCCTGCAAAGGACATGAACTCATCCTTTTTTATGGCTGCATAGTACTCCATGGTGTATATGTGCCACATTTTCTTAATCCAGTCTATCATTGATGGACATTTGGGTTGGTTCCAAGTCTTTGCTATTGTGAATAGTGCTGCAATAAACATACGTGTGGATGTGTCTTTATAGCAGCATGATTTATAATCCTTTGGGTATATACCCACTAATGGGATGGCTGAGTCAAATGGTATTTCTAGTTCTAGATCCTTGAGGAATCGCCATACAGTCTTCCGCAATGGTTGAACTAGTTTACAGTCCCACCAACAGTGTAAAAGTTTTCCTATTTCTCCACATCCTCTCCAGCACCTGTTGTTTCCTGACTTTTTAATGATCTCCATTCTAACTGGTGTGAGATGGTATCTCATTGTGGTTTTGATTTGCATTTCTCTGATGGCCAGTGATGATGAGTACTTTTCATGTGTCTGTTTGCTGCATAAATGTCTTCTTTTGAGAAGTGTCTGTTCATATCCTTCTCCCACTTGTAGATGGGGTTGTTTGATTTTTTCTTGTAAATTTGTTTAATTTCTTTGTAGATTCTGGATATTAGCCCTTTGTCAGATGGGTAGATTCCAAAAATTTTCTCCCATTCTGTAGGTTGCCTATTCACTCTGATGGTAGTTTCTTTTGCTGTGCAGAAGCTCTTTAGTTTAATTAGATGCCATTTGTCTATTTTGGCTTTTGCTGCCATTGCTTTTGGTGTTTTAGTCATGAAGTCCTTGTCCATGCCTATGTCCTAAATGGTATTGCCTAGGTTTTCTTCTAGGGTTTTTATGGTTTTAGGTCTAACATGTAAGTCTTTAATCCATCTTGAATTAATTTTTGTATAAGGTGTAAGGAAGGGATCCAGTTTCAGCTTTCTGCATATGGCTAGCCAGTTTTCCCAGCTCCATTTATTGAATAGGGAATCCTTTCTCCATTTCTTGTTTTTGTCAGGTTTGTCAAAGAGCAGATGGTTCTAGATGTGTGGTATTATTTCTGAGGGCTCTGTTCTGATCCATTGGTTTATATCTCTGTTTTGGTACCAGTACCATGCTGTTTTGGTTACTGTAGCCTTGTAATATAGTTTGAAGTCAGATAGCATGATGCCTCCAACTTTGTTCTTTTGGCCTAGGATTGTCTTGGCAATGCGGGCTCTTTTTTGGTTCCATATGAACTTTAAAGTAGTTTTTTCCAATTCTGTGGAGAAAGTCACTGGTAGCTTGATGGGGATGGCATTGAATCTATAAATTACCTTGGGCAGTATGGCCATTTTCACGAAATTGATTCTTCCTATCCATGAGCATGGAATATTCTTCCATTTGTTTGTGTCCTCTTTTGTTTCGTTGAACAGTGGTTTGTAATTCTCCTTGAAGAGGTCCTTCACATCCCTTGTAAGTTGGATTCCTAGGTATTTTATTCTCTTTGAAGCAATTGTGAATGGGAGTTCACTCATGATTTGGCTCTCTGTTTGTCTGTTATTGGTGTAGAGGAATGCTTGTGATTTTTGCACATTGATTTTGTATCCTGAGACTTTGCTGAAGTTGCCTATCAGCTTAAGGAGATTTGGGGCTGAGACAATGGGGTTTTCTAGACATACAATCATGTCATCTGCAAACAGGGACAATTTGACTTCCTCTTTTCCTAATTAAATACCCCTTATTTCTTTCTCCTGCCTGATTGCCCTGGCCAGAACTTCCAACACTATGTTGAATAGGAGTGTTGAGAGAGGGCATCCCTGTCTTGTGCCAGTTTTCAAAGGGAATGCTTCCAGTTTTTGCCCATTCAGTAAGATATTGGCTGTGGGTTTGTCATAAATAGCTCTTATTATTTTCAGATACGTCCCATCAATACCTAGTTCATTGAGAGTTTTTAGCATGAAGTGTTGTTGAATTTTGTAAAAGGCCTTTTCTGCATCTATTGAGATAATCATGTGGTTTCTGTCTTTGGTTCTGTTTATATGATGGCTTACATTTATTGATTTGTGTATATTGAACCAGCTTTGCATCCCAGGGATGAAGCCAACTTGATCGTGGTGGATAAGCTTTTTGATGTGTTGCTGGATTCAGTTTGCCAGTATTTTACTGAGGATTTTTGCATGGATGTTCATCAGGGATATTGGTCTAAAATTCTCTTTTTTTGTTGTGTCTCTGCCAGGCTTTGGTATCAGGATGGCGCTGGCCTCATAAAATGAGTTAGGGAGGAGTCCCTCTTTTTCTATTGATTGGAATAGTTTCAGAAGGAATGGTGGAAGGAAGGAAAGAAGGAAGGAAGGAAGGAAGAAGTTATTTTTATCTAATTAATTTTTTAAAAACCTAGAATTTAAAGAGTACTAAGGAAATATACTAATATCACAGCTGATTTTCATAATACAGAGGGGATGTGTTTTGACATATTCTTATAGAAGCAAATCTCTAAATGTCTTGGGGGAATACTTGTTATTTTGTTAATGTTTAGTTGGAAGTAAATAATAGACTATTGAGATCTTATCTAAATTGTTGTCTCCTAGTATTTGTCTTTCACATTCTGTGCTCTCTTTTTCACAACTAAATTACAAACTCATGTAACACTATGTGATCAGTTCAGGACTAGTAAACTATTGATTAAAATAATGAATGAAGCAATCATGTCCCTCACAATTTTTTATTCACCATCAAGTAATATAATGCTAGTTTACTGAACACTGGGGAAGAAATAAACTAATGTTTGAAAAGTGAACTAGAAACCACATTCATGTTCAGCTTAAATAAATCTGATACTATAAGTCTAATGAATAGTGATTCTTTTGTACATACTGATATCAGTAAAATTATGCAATTACATACTGGGAAATTTCCTTGGACATGCCCCTGTTGAAGTTATTTTTTTTTCTTGGAAAATGTTGAAGCACTAATCATGAGGTGAAATCTGAATCTAGATGAAAACGAACTAAATGTAAAGATTGTGTTCCTTATCTAAAATTTAAAAGTGCAATATTTACAATGTGTCCAGAGTGTATCTTCCTTTCTCACTAGCTAAGAAAGAGAAAAATATAGAAGGAATGTAAGTTATTCCATATCATGATAGTGAGATAAAGAATATTTCACTACAGATGAGCAAAAGTGCATCCTACGCCAGGAAACCCAAATCTAGTTTATGAGTTTGAGGAAAGAAATAAAATCATTTTCTACATTTTAAAATGACCTAAATTAGTCCCAATAATTGATAATTGACAACATTAGTATTTCTAAAGTTGGTTTTTAAGACATTATTTCTTGAATTTCATTTTTATTTTCCACTCTTGCAATCAATAAAAAGTTTCAGTCGGGCATGATACGCTCACATCTGTAATACCAGTACTTCAGGAGGCTGAGGCAGGCAGATCAAAAATATATAGTTTGAAATATATATGTATGTATATATTTTATACAGTATATAAAATATAATAATATAGCTGTATATAATATTGTTAATTATATATTTAATGTTTTAAATATACATAAAACTATATAACAATATGAAAGGCCTAACCTTGTTTTTACTTTAACTCGTTACTTTGAATTTTGTCCTGCTTGTCTCTTTAATCACCTAGCCTTGCTTCTCATGTAAATAAGACTCTCTCTAGCTAGGAAAACCGGACAAACTCCAACTGACCCCTTAATTTACAAGACACTAAGGGCTCCTCACCCAACCCCCTTTCGTAAGGAGTTGGCCTGGGTAAACAGATCCTCAGCATTTTAAAGGAGCCCAATTAACTGATAAGGTACTAGCACCAACAATATATGAAGTTCCCAGGAATTTTCCTCCAAGAGATAACAACATAAAACCTTGAGTTTGTGTCCGGCATAGACCCTATATCTAATTATAATGAAAGATTTAGAACCTTGCACCTGGTACCGTTGCTCTTCTTGTAACCATTTGTCTTTTAAGTTGTTTATCACTCTGTAACCATTTTGATTTTTTTGATTCTTGCATGTTTTTACTTCTGTAGAATTATTACATTTGAGTCCCCCTCCCCTTCCTAAACCTAGGTATAAAAGTTAATCGAGCCCCTTCCTCATGGCCGAGAGAATTTTGAGCGTTAGCCATCTCTTTGGCCGCCGGCTTAATAAAGGACTCTTAATTCATCTCAAAGTGTGGCATTCTCACTAACTCGCCTGGGTACAACTGTATATATTTGAATACATGAGCTATAATTTACTTATTTAACAGAAAAAAGTAAAATGAAATGTTTTTAATATCAGTGGCAGATTGATGATTACATTTTCATTTTAAATGACTTAGGAATCCTTGTTACCTTATCGTTGTTCTTTCCCATTAAAAAGACATAAGCACAGAACTCTTCTAAGTCTACTGAAAATTAGCCACTGAGAAGAGTTCCCACAAATCACACTTCAGAATAGAGTTACACTTCAGCTTTAGTAACTGTTTTTCTTACATATTTCTCTAATTGTCAGTTGATGTTAAAATGTATACAGACCACTTGAAGCACAGTAGTATAAAAGTCAGACTATAATTATTTATTTCTGCCATCTCATGTATCATTTTTCTCCACTGCCCCCCTCACAGGCACACACACAAAACAAACTTTAAAAAATGAAATGAAAAATTATGGCTTCCAGCTGCTAGCACAGTATGTCCCAACTCTTAAGAAATACATAGTCCAGTAGGGTGAGACCAATAATAAACATGACATGAATGTGAAAATTTAGAATTCCAACTTGTACTATGAAGGAAATAAAGTAGTATGGTGAAGAATGCCTAGAATTGTCAGTCTCCAGCAAGATTATACTTTTGGATTTAGTGGCATGGTTTAAATTGCTTCGGCCGGTCCCATGATCTGCTATCTGAAAGCTAAAGATTCAAGACAACCAATAGGTCTGAGATGCGGTGGCTCACGCCCATAATCCCAGCCCTTTAGGAGGCTAAGGCAGGTGAATCACTTGAGGTCAGGAATACGAGACCAGCCTGGCCAACATGGTGAAACTCTATCTCTAATAAAAATACCAAAATACAGTGAGCATGGTGGCGGGCAAATGTAATACCTGCTACTCAGGAGGTTGAGGCAGGAGAATCCCTTGAACCCAGGAGGCGAAGGTTGCAGTGAGCCGAGATCGCACCACTGTACTCCAGCCTGGGCGACAGAGTGAGAATCCTTCAAAAAAAAAAAAAAAAGAAAAAAGAAAAGAAAAGAAAGAAAGAACTGAGATGAGAGAGATAAAATTAGATGTCTTATCTCAAATAAGCAAAGAGATGTATTGTTCCTTCCTCTTCCTATTGTTCTATTCAGGCCTTCAGTGGCTTAGATAATGACCACCACACTGGGGAGGGTAACCTACTTTACTTATTTCACCAATTCAAATGCTAATCTTATCTGAAAATATCCTCAAGCAGACATCCAGAAACAATGCCTAATCTGAGACCCCTATTACTAGTTAACACATAAAATTAAGCAACACAGGACATCATAGCCAAAATTTTAATACATTCAGTTTTTACTCCAAATAGTGTTGACTGTTATCTAACACTGTATAAAATCAATTTCCTCATTTCAGAAGGATTTATGATACACTGTTTGAACTATTATGTGTTACATTGACATTTTCTAACCAAATTTGTAATTTGTATTTTAAGCATGATAATAAAGCATATTATTATTAGTTATCACATCTTTTACTTGGTCTTATCAATTCTGAAATGTCATTACTGTATTCATCCATTCACAGAAGATAAACACTTTCTTCCCTTTATGCTTCTTAGTTATTTCACAATACTTCTAGCCTCATTGTACATAATGACTTCGTTAGGAAACTTTGTGTGAAACTTTCCTGCTGTTCTGTAGCCTAAATCAGAAAGGTACAAAAGCACTGATCAGAGCTGTAAATAGAAATTGCTTGTTGATTACACATTATGAAAAAGCTTAGTTATGGTGTATTTTTACAATATTATTATATCTGACTTTTATCACTTTAAAATGTTTCTGGAACTATTTCTATGTAGCTATATAATCATTAATTTCTCATATATTGCATTTAAATTGCAGAATTCATGAGGAGCTATTCTTTCCATAATAAGATAATGGTGTTTATGCATTATATGCCACTCTATTATTTTTCTCTTTCAGTATAATATGCATGAAAAACAATACTAATATTATTAAAATTTTGACATTTGAATAAAACATGATTTTTTGTGTGTTTCCAAACTTATGAATGCATATAACAGAGATAATTTTATACACTTTTTTAAATATGCCACACGATAATATATGTGAGTGTGCATTTACTACCAGTGTCTCTATATCTCTCATTGTACAGATGAAGAAAATGAGACCAGGTATGTTTGTTGATTGCTTAATGTACCAATTTGGCCTAGAATCCTCATATATTGGTAATAAAACTAGTACGTCACAGTCAATGAAATCAAAAGTCAATTTGTTTAAATAGGGCAACACAAAGACAAAGATATAAACCTGTTGGCTATCAATTTTAAAAATAAGTATGTGGTAGCTTATTTGTTTACATATTTCAGTAAAGAAGAAATAGTTTACTGTTTCTGAAACTTCTCTATAAAAGACAAATGGCAGTTTAGGGGAATAATGTATTTTTAAAAATATATGTAAAAATAAAATACGGACAATAGCAAAGGGGCTGGGAGAGAGAACACAGAAGTACCTGCTCTAATGGTACTGGTACCAAAACAGATACATAGACCAATGGATCTGAACAGAGCCCTCAGAAATAACACCACACATCTACCACCATCTGATCTTTGACAAGCCTGACAAGAACAAGCAATGGGGAAAGGATTCCCTGTTTAATAAAGGGTGTTGGGAAAACTGGCTAGCCATGTGCAGAAAATTGAAACTGGACCCCTTCCTTACACCTTATACAAAAATTAACTCAAGATGGATTAAAGACCTAAATGTAAGACTTAAAACCATAAAAACCCTAGAAGAAAACCTAGGCAATATCATTCAGGACATAGGCATTGGAAAAGACTTCATGACTAAACCACCAGAAGCAATGGCAACAAAAGCCAAAACTGACAAATGGGATCTAATTAAGCTAAAGAGCTTCTGCACAGCAAAAGGAACTATCATCAGAGTGAACAGGCAACCTACAGAATGGGAGAAATTTTTTGCAATTTATCCATCTGACAGAGGGCTATATCTGGAATCTACAAATAACTTAAATTTACAAGAAAACAACAAACAACCCCATCAAAAAGTGAGCGAAGGATACGAAAAGACACTTTTCAAAAGAAGACATTTATGCAGCCAACGAATATATGAAGAAAATCTCATCATCACTTGTCATGAGAGAAACGCAAATCAAAACCACAATGAGATACCATCTCACACCAGTTAGAACTGCAACCATTAAAAAGTCAGGAATCAACAGATGCTGGAGAGGATGTGAAGAAATAGGAACGCTTTTACACCATTGGTGGCAGTGTAAAGTAGTTCAACCATTGTGGAAGACAGTGTGGCGATTCCCCAAGGGTCTAGAGCAAGAAACACCGTTTGACCAAGCAATTCCATTACTGGGTATATACCCAAAGGATTATAAATCATTCTACTATAAAGACACATGCACATGTATGTTTCTTGTAGCACTATTCACAAAAGCAAAGACTTGGAACCAACCCAAATGCCCATCAATAATAGACTGGATAAAGAAAATGTGGCACATATACAACATGGAATACTATGCAGCCATAAAAAGGGATGAGTTCATGTCCTTTGCAGGGACATGGATGAAGCTGGAAACTGTCATTCTTAGCAAACTACCACAAGAACAGAAAACCTAACACTGCACGTTCTCACTCATAAGTGGGACTTGAACAATGAGAACACACGGACACAGGGAGGGAAACATCACACATCGGGACCTGGTGGGGGTAGGGGGCTAGGGGAGGGATAGCATCAGGAGAAATACCTAATGTAGATGACAGGTTGATGGGTGCAGCAAGCCACCATTGCACGTGTATGCCTATATAACAAACCTGCACATTCTGCACATGAAGGTTGATGGGTGCAGCAAACCACCATTGCATGTGTATGCCTATATAACAAACCTGCACATTCTGCACATGTACCCCAGAACTTAAAGCATAATAATAAGAAGAAAAGAAGTACCTGCTGTAACATTTTTATAATACAAGTGTGAAGTAGTATGAAAATACTTGGAAGTCAACTATAATGATATAAAACTATATTTAAGACTAGAATAAAGATACACTAAAACATCACTAAAATATAAATTAAAAAGTTATACTTAAAAAGCTAAATAAAGTAGAGAAAATTGAAACATAAGAATATTGTAAAATTTATAATTCAATTTTGATGCGAATGTTCTAAAAATTCCAGTTAAAACTCTATGAACATCATAATGGCTAAAAAAGTGTAGACCAAATTCTCAGCTGTCTACAAGAAACCCACTTTATATGTAAAGATTTATATGTAAAGACACAAATAGATTGTCTTTAAATATAAAATAATTATTTTACTAATACTAATCCGAAGAAAACTAGAATAACAATACTGTATCAGATGAAGTAGATTTAGAGCAAAGAGTTTATGGAAGAAAAGGGAAATTGTAAATAATGATAAAGCCTCAATTACTCAATAATACATAACAATTTTAAATGATTTTGTGCAAAATACCTTAGCCTCAAAATAAATGAGGTAACATTGATAGAACTAAATGAGGAAAAAATCCATAATTATAGTTGGATATTTCACTAATTCATAAAAATATTACAAAAAATATAAAACTGCAAATTATTATATCTTACCAACATAATCAAAAATTCTTCAAAAAAATTTGGAAAATTTACTCCAACAACATGTGAAAAGAGTAATCCATTGTGATAAAGTGAATTTCAGGTCAGAAATGCAAGGTTGGTTCAACATCCAAAATGAATGTGACCTACTATGTTTACATTCTCACAAAATAAAAAAAATGTAATCAATATATACAGAAAAAAAGTGAAAAACAATCCTCCATTCATCATTAAAAATGATCAGCAGTTTGGAAATACATAAAACCTTCATCAACCTGATAAAAGGTATTTACAGAAACAAGCTTATTTTTCTTATGATGTACTTCAGGTCCATTTATGTTGTCTCAAGTGGTAGAATTTCTTTCTCTTTTAAGGCAGAATAATATTCCATTGTGTGTATACACCATGCTTTCCTTATGCACTAATCCACTGATGTGCATTCAGTTTGTTTCCATATCATAGTTATTTTGAATAATGCTAAAAAGAATATGTGAGTTTGGGTTTATCTTTAAGATTCTGACTTCACCTCCTTTGGATAAATATTTGAAGTGGGACAGTTCAAACATACAGTTATTACATTTTTAATTTTTGAAGAACATCTATAGTAAAATTTCAGTTATGCAAGATAAGTTCCAATAATCCACTATGCAGCATAGTGCCTATAGTTAGCAATATTGTATAGTAAACTTAAAATTTTCTAAGAACTTTTATCTTATGTTAAATGTTCTTATCACAAAAATGAAATAATAAAATAAAGGTGGTGGAAGGAAACTTTGGGAGGTGGTGGATAAACCTATAGCCGTGATGGTAGTGATAGTTTCATGGGTGTATACTTATCTTCAAACTCATGGAGATATATACATTAAATATCTACAACTTTTTACGTGCTTATCATACCTAAATAAAGCAGTTAAAAAAAATAGTAACTCTAGGGCCGGATGCAGTGGCTCACGCCTGTAATCCCAGCACTTTGGGAGGCCAAGGTGGGTAGATCACCTGAGGTCCAGAGTTCAAGACCAGCCTGACTAATATGGCAAAACCTCGTCTCTACTAAAAATACAAAATTAGCGGGCTTGGTAGCGCATGCCTGTAATCCCAGCTACTCTGGAGGCTGAGGCAGGGGAATCGCTTGAACCCGGGAGGCTGAGGTTGCAGTGAGTTGAGATCATACCATTGCACTCCTGCCTGTGCAACAAAGAGCAAATCTCCACCCCAACAACAACAAAAGTAATTCTAAAGATAAGATGCTTAACATATACATTAAAAAAAGGCATTAATAAAAACAGACAAATATTATATAACTAATATCATGCTTAATGGTAAAAACTGAATATCTACCACTTCATCAGAAATAAGTAAAGCCTATCTATTCTAATAATTACCGTTCAACATTGTATAAGAGCCATTGCAAAAAGACAAGAAAAATAAATAAAATATACCCACAGTTTGAATGAAAAAGAATAAAATTGTTATTATCCACAGTCTACATTATTATCTATATAAATAATCTAAAAATACTAAAATTTTTTTAAATTTTAGCAACTTTATAGAATTAAAGGCATACATTTAAATATGTCTATGCATCAAAATGAATTTTTTTTTTTGAGACGGAATCTCACTCTGTCGCCCAGACGGGAATGCAGTGGTGCAATCTCGGGTCACTGCAAGCTCTGCCCCCTGGGTTCACGCCATTCTCCTGCCTCAGCCTCCCGAGTAGCTAGGATTACAGTTGTGTGCCACCATGCCTGGCTAATTTTTTTGTGTTTTTAGTAGAGACGGGGTTTCACCGTGTTAGCCAGGAAGGTCTTGATCGCCTCGCCTCGCCCGCCTTGGTCTCCCAAAGTGCTGGGATTACAGGAATGAGCCACCACCCCAGGCCCAAAATGAATTTTAATAAGACAATATTATATTCAATAGTTGTTGAAATATGAAACACTTAAAGAAATATTTAAAAGTGTACTAGAACTTAACAAAAACTACAAAACTTGGCTATCACAAATTAGAGATCTAAATAAATAGGGTGATATACCATGTGCATATACGAGAGCACATAATCTTGTTTAATCGCTTCTCCCCAAATTCATTTAGAGATTCAGTGAAACCCCAGTAAAATCCTAGCATATTTTCTGGGAGGAAATTGACAAGCTGATTCTAAAATTCATATGGAAATGCAAAGGCCCTAGAATATCTGGAACAACTCTGAAAGAGAGCAAAGTTGTAAAATATACACTCTCTGATTTCAAAAGCTAATATAGACTATAGTAATTAAGATCCTGAATATTTACATAAAGATGATAATAATGATCAATATAACAGATTACAGAGTGGGAAAATATGCTCCCAAATATATGGAAAATTGATTTTGACCAAAGTACCAACACGATTTAATGGAGAAAGACAGCCAAATGCAGTGGCTTATGCCTGTAGTCTCAGCTTGGGAGGCTGAGGTAGGAAGATTCTTTGAGCCCAGGAGATCAAGGGTATAGTGAACTATGATCACATCACTGCACTCCAGCCTGGGTGAAACTCTGTCTTTAAAAAAAAAAAAAAAAGAAAGAAAAAAAGGCCAGGCACGGTGGCTCATGCCTGTAATCCCAGCACTTTGGGAGGTCGAGGTGGGTGGATCACGAGGTCAGGAGACTGAGATCATCCTGGCTAACACAGTGAAACCCCATCTCTACTAAAAATAGAAAAAATTAGCAGGGTGTGGTGGCAGGCACCTGTAGTCCCAGCTACTCAGGAGGCTGAGGGAAAAAAATGTTGTGAACCTGGGAGGTGGAGCTTGCAGTGAGCTGAGATTGCACCACTGCACTCCAGCCTGGGTAACAGAGCAAGACTCCAACTCAAAAAAAAAAAAAAAAAATATATATATATATATATATATATATATATATATATAATATATATATATAATATATACACAAAACAACACATTTTATATGTATATACACACACAAAAACAAAAATCTTTAATCCTTAGTCTATGTACAAAAATTAACATGAAATGGATCATCATAGTTAGAAATTTAGTGTTGAAACTAATGTTTTAAAAAGGAAGCATAAGATAAAATCTCAGTAACCATAAATTTGTCAAAGCTTTCTTAACAATACATAAATTTTAAAATAAAAAATTGGGAAATCCAACTTGGTCAAAATTAAAACTTTTTTTTTTTTTTACTGTTACCAATTCCTGGTTTCATTTCATTATGGTGAGAAAGACCAAAATAGATGACTCTTTATCAACTAAAATGGACCATAAAACTAAAGAAACAAAGTTAACTAGCTGAAGGTTCAGGGCCTAGCTGTCTTGGCAAATTTCTAAATTCCTAAAGTACAAGAAAAACCACTCTCTTGTTAAACCCTAATAATAGGCACTATCAGGCAAATTATCAGACCTTTCCTAACTCTGATTTATAACCCAGACTACTACAACTCTGATTGGACAAAGGAATGGCCTTACAAACATCTCTTCTGATAAACTACTGCAGACCATAAGCCAGTTTCAGATGGCTTATAGAGGCTGCACACAAACTCCATGTCTTATAGTTTACCTTTTATGTAAAGAGCCAAATTTCACCCCATTATAATGCTAAAACCCCACCCCAAGTGAAAATGAGATGTAAGTTATAGATATAGATGTAAGTTATAGATATAGATACGTTATAGATTGCTCACACACTCAGCTCCCCTCATAAATATATATAGCTTTTCCCCCAAACTGGCTGAATATGTATGACTTTACTGTGTGATACCGGCCCTGCGTGGCATAAAACTCAACATGTCCTTCTCCTCTCTGGCACACTCAAGACTGTCTCTTCTTGGCTTGCAAACCAATATTGTCAATAAAGCTCTCCTCTCTACTATTTACCCATCCTGGTAGTCTTTTGGATGACAATTTCGATCTTCAATATGGAAAGACATTTTGTGGCCTAAGTTTTCAGTGAAATTCTAGCAAACTGAATTAAACACTACATTAAAAGGATTATACATCATGGCCAAATGGGATTTTTCCCTGGCATGTAAGGATAGTTAAACATATGCAAATAAACCATTGTGATACACTACATTAACTACATGAAAGAAAAAAGTGACATGATCATCCCAAAAGACGCAGAAAAAGTATTTCACAAAGTTTAAGATCCATTCATGATTAAAACTGTTGACAAGTTAGGTATAATAGGAAATTACCTGGAAACAATACAGGCCATAAATCTAATAATCCACAGTTAACATCATAATCAAAGGAGAAAAACTGAAAGCTTTTCCTCTAAGATCTGGTCCAAGCCAACTCTCACCACTTCTTTCTATTTGACAGTCCTGGAAGTCCCAGCCAGAGTGAGTAGATAAGAAGAAGAAATAAATGACATTCAAATATGAAAGAAAGAAAAATAATCTCTGATTCCAGATGACATGATCATACATGTAGAAAACTCTAAAAACTCTACAAAAATCTGTGAGAACTAAAAATTCAGAAAAGTTGCAGGATACAAAATCAACATGCATAAATCAATTGTCTATACAAACATAAACTATACACAACCAACAAACTATCCACAAAGGGCATTCAGAAAGCAGTCATATTTACAATAGCAACAAAAAGAGTAAAGTACTTAGGAATAAACTTAACCAGGAGATAAGATAAAAGACTTGTACGTTAAAAACCATAAAACATTGATGAAAGAAATTAAAGACACAGATATATGGAAATATATCCTGTGTTCACAGATGGGAAAAATTAATATCATTAGCATGTTTATGTTATCCAAAGTCATCTACAGATTCAATGAAATCTCTATCAAAATATCAATGGCAGTTTTTACAGAAATACAAAACAACAAATCTAAAATTTATATGGTAACACAGAAGGCCCTAAATAAAAAAAGCAGTCTTGAGCAAAAAGAATAAAACTGGAAGCTCCACACTACCCGATTTCAAAATATTCAAAGCTAGAATACTCAGACAGCAGAGAACCTACATAAACCAAAAACATATAGGCCAATGGAACAATATAGAGAACCAAGAAATAAATCCACACATCTACAGTCAACTGATCTTCAATAACAGTGTCCAGAACACGCAACAAAGAAAGGATAGTCTCTTCAATAAATGGTGCTAGGAAAACTGGATAACCACATGCAGAATACCCATATTTCATACCATTGTCAATCTTAAATAATAAGTTTCAGAAAAATATATTAACTATAGAGTTTATATGAGTGCAAAGCTTGAGGATGGCAACCCATTAAAAAAACCTAATCAAATACGGTCAGTATTACAAAGAGGAGAAGCTAAGCATTCACTTGTATAGGCAGAGAGAGAAGTTTTAGCAGTATTACAACATTTTTCATACAACACCAATATATACATTACAACAATTTGGTTACAGATTGCTATGTTCCAAGGAAGATTACTTTATTATTCCTTGAGGAAAGGTAAAGGTCTAAGGGGGTCTTATCTTGCGTTTGACTTGATCTTCCTAATTATTTACAGGAGAAAAACAGGTAGAAGTTACAGCTGCATGCCAAATGACTCAGGCTATACAGACCTATTCCTTTTAAGGCTTGGGATAATTTAAAGTTGCAATCGCTTTGGAAAGTGTTATCAATAGGCTAATGATGCACGTCATGCTTAGCCTACTGTTAAACACCAATAACTGTTCTTGAGAAAAAGTTATCTATTTCTGATATTCTATTTAATCCTGTCCTTAGAAAGAATATACCCACCATCATAGGCCAGAACCACTGGAAAGTGGCATGAGGCCCCATAACCAACAAGTGTTTTTCTGTAATTTATCAGCATAGTCTTGAGTCCATTGCAAAGAGGTTTGCTTCATGGGCAACGGCTGGTGACAGTAATAACAAAACATAAGAACTCAACATGAAAAGAAAAAAAAAGTCAGTAGGAACCTGAAAAGGAAGACTTTCTCTATCTGTTAACAATTATTAATATTAAGTGTTCATTTAAATACAGGCCTGGTCTGGTGTTTTGAGAAAGCTGACTACCTAAGATACTGTCTTTTTCTCAGCCTTGTTGGTTCTGGAGAATTTCAATTTTAGATCACCCATTTGAGATAAAGTCCAAATTGGTGAAACACCTTTCTTTAAATGGGTGATGTGTATTCAGGAGCTTATTCCTTTTAGCTTAGTGACACAAGGGTTGGTTAGAAGAATCTAATAACGTTCACATGCCTGTTCATGTTCTTTGCCCACTTTTTATGATGCTGTTTTTTTTTTTTTTTGTAAATTTGTTTAATTTACTTATAGATGCTGGGTATTAGGCCCTTGTCAGATGCATGGATTGCAAACATTGTCTCCCATTCTGTAGGT
The DNA here is from genome assembly GCF_000001405.40 of Homo sapiens. Classification (NCBI taxonomy): domain Eukaryota; kingdom Metazoa; phylum Chordata; class Mammalia; order Primates; family Hominidae; genus Homo; species Homo sapiens. The sequence continues at coordinate 97,648,390 of NC_000011.10, forward strand.
TTTCTTCAATCTGATGATAGTTTATTTTGCTGTGAAGAAGCTCTTTAGTTTAATTAGATCTTATTTGTCAATTTTTGCTTTTTTTGCAATTGTTATTTATATCTTTGTCATGAAATCTTTGCCTGTGCCTATGTTCTGAATGATATTACCTAGGTTGTCTTTCAGGATTTTATATTTTGGGGTTTTACATAATTTACATCTTTAATCCATCTTCAGTTAATTTTTTATGTGATATAAGCAAGATTTCAAGTTTCAATCTTCATATGGCTTTTCATAGTAGTTTCTGATGGTTATTTTTATTTCTGTGGGGTCAGTGGTATCATTCCCTTTGTCATTTCTAGATGTATTTTTTTGGATTTTCTCTTTTATCTTCTTTTTTAGTCTAGCTAGCAAACCCATTTATTTTATTCAACATTTTTTTAAATGGATTCATTGATCTTTTGAATGGATTTTTATGCTCAATTTCCTTCAATTCAGCTCGAATTTTGGTTATTTTTTGTCTTCTGCTAGGTTTTGGGTTGATTTGTTTTTGATTCTCTAATGTTTTCAGTTGTAATTTTAGGTTGTTAATTTGAAGTATTTCTATTTTTTTCATGCGGACATTTAGTGCTACAAATTTCACTGTTAAAACTGCTTTAAAGTTTTCTGCTACAGATTCTGGTATGTTGTATTTTTGTTCTCATTAGTTTCAAAGAACTTCTTGATTTCTGCCTTAATTTGACTATCCAAAACTCATTCAGGAGCATGTTGTTTAATTTCCATGTAATTGTATTCTTTTCAACGAGTTTCTTAGTCTTGACTTCTATTCTTATTGCATCATTGTCTGAGAGTGGGTTTGGTATGATTTCAGCCCTATTGTATTTGCTGAGGATTGTTTTATGTGCAATTATGTGGTTGACTTTAGAGTATGTGCAATGTGACAATGAGTAAAAAGATGTATATTCTTTTGTTAGGGCAAAGATTTCTGTAGAGATCTATCAGATTCATTTGGTCTAATGTTGACTTTAGGTCTTAAATATCTTTGTGAATGTTCAGCCTCAATAATCTGTCTAATACTGTCAGTGGAGTATTGAAGTCTCCCACTATTATTGTGTGGGAGTCTATGTCTCTTCTTAAGTCTCTAAGAACTTTCTTTATAATCTGGGTTATCCTGTGTTGGGTGCATATATATTTAGGACAGTTAGGTCTTTGTTGAATTGAGCCCTTTACCACTATGTAATACTCTTCTTTATCTTATTTTATCTTTGTTGGTTTAAAGTTGGTTTTGTCTGAAATTAGGATTGCAGCCCCTGCTTTTTTCTGATTTCCATTTGCTTGGTAGATTTTCCTCCATCCCTTTATTTGTAGCCCATAAGTGTCATTTCCTGTGACATAGGTCTCTTGAAGACAGAATACTATTGGATCTTGCTCTTTTAATTCAGCTTGTCACTCTGTGCCTGTTAAGTCGGATATTTTACTCAATTACATTCAAGGTTAATATTGATATGTATGGATTTGATTCTGTCATTGTGTTGCTATCTGGTTATTGTGCTGGCTTGTGTGGTTGCTTATAGTGTCACTGGTATGTGTATTTATGTGTGTTTTAGCATCAGCTGGTAGCAGTCTTTCCTTTTTATATTTAGTGCTCCTTTAAAAATCTCTTGTAAGACAGGTCTGGTGGTAACAAACTCCCTCAACATTTGCTTATCTGAAAAGGATCTTATTTGTCCTTTGCATAGTTTGGCTTGATATGAAATTCTTGGTTGAAGATTTTTATTTTTTTAATATTTAATGTAGGCCCTCATTCTCTTCTTGCTTCTAGAATTTCAGATAAAAGGTATGCTGTTAGCCTGACAGCTTTCCCTTTGTAGGTTACCTACTCTTTATTTCTAGCTTCCTTTAACATTCTTTCTTTTATTTTGACCCTGAAAAATCTGATGATTATGTGTGTTGGGGATATTCTTCTTGTGTAGAATCTTGCAGGGGTTCTCTGTATTTCCTGAATTTTACTCTTGGCCTCTCTAGCAAGGTCGTGGAAGTTTTCATAGATGACATCCTGAAATATGTTTTCCAATTTGTTTACTTTCTCCCCTTCTCTTTCACAGATGCAAATGGTTTGTAAAGTTGGCTTCTTTACATAATCACGTACTTCTTGAAGGTTTATTCATTCCTTTTCATTCTTTTTTTAAAAAATTTTGTCTGACTCTTACTTCAGAGATGCAGTCCTCATGTTCTTAGATACCTTTCTTAGCTTGGTCTATTCTGCTGTTAATACTTGTGAACGTATTGTGAAATTTTTGTATTGTGATTTTTAGCTCTGTCAAATCCATTAGGTTCCTTTTTATACTGGCTATTTCATCTTTTACCTTCTGTATTATTTTATTGTGTTTCTTAGTTTTCTTGAATTGGGTTTTGCCATTCTCCTGAATCTCAGTGATCTTCATTCCTATTCATATTCTAAATTATTTTTCTGTCATTTCAGCCAGCTCAGCCTGGTTAAGAACTCTTTTTGGAGAACTAGAGCAGTAGTTTGGAGGACATCAACATTCTAGCCATTTGAGTTACTGGAGTTTTTGCATTGGCTGTTTCTCATCACTGCATGTGAGTGTTAATTTAACTGCAGTGTAGATTGAGTATAGTCAATAGACTTCTTTTCTGGATATTTTCACAGGGCCAAGGCTTTGTTCAGTGACTTTATTTGAAGCTGATTTCTTGTCTTGAATTTCACAGGAAAGGATTTTAGGGAAGTATTTTTGGTGTGGAAGCTTTAGGGTGTGATCCAGTAGGTGGCACTTAGGTGTACTGGTGAGTTGGTAAACTCTTGCTCAGTTGTGTGGCTCCCCTATATTTTCTCACAGTTTCAGCCATGTTTTCTCTCAATGCTCTCAAAGTGTGGGTTCCTCTCCTCCTTGAGTGCTGCCTGTAGATCATGGTTTGGTGCTTCTTGGCTGCCCACTGCCCACCTTGGAGGAGAAAGGGACCTTAGTAGTCATTGTGGCCAAAGGTCTTTTGCTTGTCTCCTGGAGTTTCCACCTAAGAGAGATAAATGTCCATAATCACTCAGTCCAATCAGTCCAAAATGGAAAGCCTGTGCTGTGGGCCCAAGCCAGGGATTCCCTGTCTGGTGATGAGTTGTGGTTTGGGGGGACAGTGAGTGGGACCCATGGGAGAGTGACTGGCCTCCTCTCCTTGGGTCAACTGCAGCTTGTTAAGGGTATGGATAAGGCACTTCGAGTCTTTGCTGTTTCATTAATCCAAAGATAACAAGGGCAGTTCCACTACAGAGGCAGTGACAGAGATGCTTTCAGTTGCCTCTGGCTGCTCTGTCCAAAGCTGATACTAGCTCAATAGCCCTAGAAAGCGTTGGCTTGAGGCCTAGGCCTGGAGGATCTACCCAGTTAGGAGACATGAGAATGGGCACCCACGGAACAGTGTGGCAACTTTTCTATAGGGCTGCTGTGGTATGCTGGTGGTCCACTCCATTTTCTAGTCACTGTGGATTTTCCAGTATCTGGAGGTATCAACAGCGAAGACTGCAAAACAGCAAAGATGGTGGTCTTCCACTTCCCAACACTGAAGGCTGAAAACAGCAAACATGGAACTCCACCCCAGGGAGGTATGGACATGTTGCCGGGCCAAATGCCCCTATAGGAGGTTGCTTGGGATCCTGGTTGGGAGGTCCCACCCAGTGAGGAAGAACAATACTGGGGACCCACTTAAAAGAGTAGTCTTGCCATATTTTCACAGAGCAGTTGTGCTGTAATGGGGGTCTGCCTCAGCCCCTGGTCACCTCAGACTCCCCCAAGCCCAAAGGTTAAAATGGCTAAGTTGGCTAAACTTCAAAGATGGCAGCCCACCTCTCCATCTGGAAGCTCTGTCTCAGGGAGGTGTAAGGCTGCTATGGGTGGCTGGCTGGAGTTTCAAGCCAGTGGGTTTTATCCTATGAGGTGCCATGGAAGCAGGGCCTGCAGGCTGTTGCTGCTCAGCTCCCTGGATTCAGCCCTTTTTCTAGGAATTTGTACAGGAATCTAACCTCCTGCTTTGCCAGAGTTGTAGCTGCTTTTGCAGGGAAGCCCTGAAACCCCAGGTATCTAAGGTTCCCAGGTCTCTGCGTATGCCTGAATGGCTACTCTGCTGAGACTCCATGTAGCTCTGTGTGTCAGACTGAAGGCCCTGGTGGAGTGAGTTGGTGAGAGGATCTCCTGACCCAAGGGTTGCAAAGATTCATGGGAGAAGCATGAGTTCCCAGGGTCACACATTCATTTACCACTTCCCTGAGCAGGGGAGATTCCTTTGGCTCTGTGTCACTCCTGCATGGGTTATTGTCCTGCCTTGCCTTTTCTCTATTCCTAGTGGGTCAAGTTGTTTTCTTGATTAGTCCCAATGTTTGTACCTGGATGTTTCAGTTGGAAAAACTGTATTTATTTCCCCTTCCATTCCAGTCCATAAGACCAGTGCACACTAGCTGCTTCTAGTTGGCCATCTTGGACACCCCCACCAGGTTGGTTTTTAAACTATGTAAAGGCAGCCTCTGAAATTAACCTTAGCCTCCCTGAATGCTTTGTAAAGTGTAATTTTCAAAATTTATAATCTACCCTTGAAAAATTGCTACATATACCCAGATTTTATCTTTCACTATGCTCTATTAATTTTAGAGTGAATTTCTATTCTGTTAGCCAATCTTGCTTTTTCTACAAAACAACAAAAAATTATGCCATTACATATCATACATTCATCCAAACCACAAAAATACTTATAATAAATATAATTGTATAATATTATTTATTATAATAAATATAATTGTAACTGTAATTAACTTCTATTTTAGTCAGAAAACACAGAGAAAAGTCATATAAACTTTGTCATATACACAAATTTTAATGAAAAAAGCAAAGTTTATGAAAAGAAATAACTTTTTTACAACTATCTTCCCTTTTCATCATCTTATATTGACAAAAATTAACATCTAAATTAACATGCCTCAAATAACATATGAGAAGCAAAGGCATTCAAAATCAAAATTTTGCTTGGTAATCCATGTTTCAATATTTCATTTTACATAAGAATTGTGTAAGTTTATTAATTATCCTATGGATTGCTGTCCAATAATTGTTATCCAATAATTATCCATTAATTATCCTACAATTTTTTCCTTTAGTTTATCTGAGGATCTTGGGAATTACGCTCAAATTTACAAAATACAAATCATAATTACTGTTTAAAAGCATTGACAGGAATATGATCCAATATAATAGATCACAAATTTATGATTCCGTATTTCTAAATGTTATGAATGTATAACCTTAGCTTATTTTATCAGTAAACCAGTATAAAATATTTAGGATTAATTAGGCAAACAAACAGCATAGTTTCATTACATTTGTCAGGTTAGTCCATGTGGGTATCTTGTTTGATCCTTTAAAACTGCAAAAATATAATTTTCAAAAGATAAATTACATCCTATTTTCAACTGTAAAATGCCATTTGCCAAATCTTTTATTCAGTACGTTAATTAATGAGGAAGGAAGATGTTAAAATTGATTGAAAGATCATTTGAGGGCTTACATATTTATAGAAAATATAATAGTGGTATGTTAAGTTTCCTAGATTAATTTCAAAACTGACTTAATGTCGTGTTAAGCAATAATTCTCAATATTTAAGTTAACTTTTCTACTATGCATAAATTATTTGAATTTTAACCTGAACATTTATGTAATTTAATAATAACTTTACTAAGTCTAGCAGCTTCTTGCAATAGTACACAGTGACTCAAACACATTTCCTTAGAAAATTCTTAGATGGACTTGAATTATCATGTGACATTAAAATTACATCACCCAACTTTTGCCTTATTTCTATGTTTTGGATTATTTTCCTAAAAATTTCCAAAGATTAAATGATCTGAAGAATAGTTACTATTCGAAAAAAGTAAGATAGCTATGTTTGATAATGTTTTAAAAATTAAAAGAAAAGATGGAAATGTTGCCAATACATAAAATCCTATTCTCATATCTTTGTCCTCAGTTAGGATCATTTATGGACTGGACATTCTTTTTCACAAGATGAACATGGTTGACACCTAATATAGTAGTAACACTTTCTACTTGATTATGACTCTGTGTCTATGTTTCCTTTACATCCATATTCAGAGAGTTGGAAAGTTAGAGTTAGGTTTAAGAGTATGTTTCAAATCAGAAATATTTAGGGCTACTAGAAAAGTTTCACGCTGGGGCAAGTTTCCCCTAAGATGATCCATTAGGGTCTGACACTATCTGGTACATCTCCTTCAAATTCCTGCTTGGAAGCAGCTGCATGTGTATGTGGTGGGAGCAGGGTAGACTCAACTGCAATAATCTGGGATTTTAGGAATGCTCTTCTTGTTAGCTCATACAGAACAGTATTAATATATTTGCATTTTATTATATATTGTAGGTCAAATTATACTTACTATCTCAATATTATATTTGTGAATATGACTTTCACTTCTTTTTCAATAATAGGTTATATCTTTACATAACAGCAGAAAACTCCCAATAAATAGGATTAACATCTCTTTTTCCATTGTCAGATAACCATAAACAGAAATTTAAGAGCTAGCTTACATAATACTAAATATGGCTACAATTGTCAAATATCAGCCAGGTGTGTGGATTCATGCCTGTAATGCCAGCATTTGGGAAGCCGAGGTGGGTGGATCACTTGAGGTCAGAAGTCCAAAATCAGCCTGGCCAACATGGTGAAACCCCATCTCTACTAAAAGTAAAATAATAATAATAATTAGCTGGGCGTGGTGGCACACATCTGTAATCCCAGCTACTTGGGATTGCCCACTATGTAAATTAGAATCACTTAAACCCGGGAGATACAGGTTGCAGTGAGCCAGTATTGCGCCACTGTACTCCAGTGTCGGCAACAAAGGAAGATTTTGTTTCAAAAAAAAGAAAAAATTATCAAATATCTTCTAACATTAATATGCTAGCAATCTAACCAAATAAATAATATTATTACTGAAACTGTAATAATATACTCTTACATTAACACTATAATTTTAAGATATACATCTTAAATATATATGATATATATATAAATATATCAAATTTTATTCTCACAAAAATTACATGAAGTAGTTGAAATAGGTAGTACTAACTGATTTAATGAGTACGAATGCAATAATAATAAGAATTCTGTTTTAAATTCATATGTTTAGTTTCCAAACTAGGTTGCTTATCTGCCTTTGAAACTCGTAAGTTATAACAATAATGTGATAAGATTGACTTCACAAAATATGCATGATGTCTCAAAATATTTTAGACTAATTTAGGTTGCATTTGGGTAATTCTACAGTATTTGTGGAAAGTAAAACTTACATACTCATGCAATTTTATTATTTCTGTTTATACTCCCCATATAAGTGAGCAATAAAATAAATATCAACAGTGGAAAAGCCTTAGATCTTGGGGTAGGATTAGAACACATAAGAAGTATAGCTGTTTATTATTAAATAAGATTGTAGGCACACCAAGATTTTTAATGTAAGTTTTGTTGGACAGGTCTTACTGTATTTTAGTTCTGCACAAATTATTATTTCAGGGAAATAAAACCCCAAATAGAAGATGGCTCATATTCAGGCATGTCATTATTGTTCAAAGATTTAGGTCAGAAGTCAACAAATTACAGCTGAAGAGCCAATTCTAACTCTGACATATTAATTTTAAAATAAAGTTTTATTGAAGCATGACCATGCTTATCCATTTCCATATTCTCTATGAGTACTTTATCACTACAATTATAAGAAGCCATATGACTGGCAAGCCAATTTATCTGACCCTTTACCACAAATACCTGTTGATATCTTTTATAGCAGAAAACATGTTGCTATTTTTATTATTTATATTTTAGTGAATACATACATAATATTAGGTGGGAAACAAATTTTTGAATTTAAAATATCATGTAATTTTTATACATTTTATGCTTGTTGCTAATTCTATCTCACTATTGGCCTCAAATCTCTCAGGGTATGCATTTTTACCTCTCTATTCTCTTATCAGTGTGCCTATATATAATAATTGGATACGTCTTAGGATATGTTGATGTTTCACACAATACAGCTGATGAATGATTCATTTCTTAAGAAGGAAGTCAAAGTTAATACATCTCATTGTAAAATGTATGTCACTCTAAGATACTCAATTTTGGTCACTTAGCCAAGGTAAACTTGGTGTTGCTTTATATTATTTACAGAGTTCAAATTCAATAAGAAATCTCATGTGATCCACGAGTAAGCACCAGTGAAATGATCTTACTATTATTTTTATCTTTTCTACAGAAACTAGCTTGATAATAGAAACATTCTAGGTATATACAGAGATAAAACAAAGTGCCCACGGGAACAACTCAGAAGCACACTTTTCTTACATTTCACTCTGTGGTACTGCTCTAGGATTTAGACATGACTGTGATCAGAACAATTATGTGTCAAGGATGTGTACTTTTACTATCTTATAGAATATTCTGTAGACTTTATACACACGTACTGTTTATAATAAAAAGCCAACCCAGAATTAATGCCAATATCAAATTGAACTATCAACCATAAAAGAAAAGTGAAAGTGTAACTTTAACAGTTATAATGACAAAAATCATAAGAGAAAATTTGCAATGTAACTTTTACAATCTAGAGACTTTCTTTCTTGGTATAAGAACCTCTAGAACTTTGCAATGGAGTTTCAGAAAAAGGCTTATTTTCTATTCATCCAGGACAAGGCATTCCAGAACAAAAACTAATTAAAAATGCTACACCAACACAATTTCTTCTCCATTCCTATTCATTTAGTGTTAACTGGAAATGAATAATTTCAATGCTAATAAACTATAATGATTTATTCCTATCAACTCTATCTTAATGTTGCTTTCAAAATTACTGATGATAAAATTTGCCCAAAATGACCTGTAATAAGAACCAATTATAATTGCCAGTTCATTATATTATGCATAACAGAGCATACCACATTTTTTACTGAAACAGAAAAGACAGAAAAATCTATTGTCTTTACTATTATTCATGAAAATTACCACTATGTAAATGATATCAGTCTACAGCCAAAACACATTGAATGTGCCCAATCTCATCTGATCTCAGAAACTAAGCAGGATTGGGCCTGATTAGTACTTGGATGAGAGACCACTTGTGAAGACTGGGTGCTGCAGGCTTTTTTTTTTTTTTTGAAAATAAAAAAAATTCAAAAATATCAATAGATGCCATCGTATAGTATAGATTTAATATGTCTTTACAGACTATTCAGATCTTTTCTGTCCTGTATAAACGGTAGGACCTCTTATCTATCCACTGTTCCTTTTTAATATATTATAACCAAATCTGTATTAGTTCATTTTCATGCTACTATGAAGAAATACTTGAGGCTGGGTAATCTATAAAGGAAAGAAATTTAACTGACTCAGTTCTGAAAGGCGGGGGAGGCTTCAGGAAACTTACAATTCATGTTGGGAGTGGAAGCAAACACATCCCTCTTCATATAGCAGCAGGAGAGAAAAGTGCAGTGTGAAGGCAGGGAAAGCCCCTCATAAAATCATCAGATCTCATGAGAACTTACTACCACAAGAAAAGCATGGGGAACTGCCCCCGTGATCTAATCACCTCCCACGAGGTCCCTCCCTCAACACATGTGGATTATAATTTGGATTACAATTCAAGGTGAGATTTGGATGGGGACATAGAACCAGACCATATCAAAATCCAAATGATTGGTGAAGTGGAAATATGACCATCAATTAAAAGTTGTATAGGCCAGGCGCGGTGGCTCATGCCTGTAATCGCAGCACTTTGGGAGGCTGAGGCGGGCGGATCACCTGAGGTTGGGAGTTTGAGAACAGCCTGACCAACATGGAGAAACCCTGTCTCTACTAAAAATACAAAAAAATTAGCCAGGTGTAATGGTGCATGCCTGTAATCCCAGCTACTCGGGAGGCTGAGGTAGGAGATTCACTTGAACCCGGGAGGCAGAGGTTGCAGTGAGCTGAGATAGCACCATGGCACTCCAGCCTGGGCAACAAGAGTGAAACTCCATCTCAAACAAACAAACAAAAAAAAGTTGTATAAATGTTTCCTTCAGATGGTTATTCTGAGATTAATGTGAGGTTATCATGCAGCTGTAATTTGTAACTAAGTGAAAAGGAGTAAGCTATATCCACATTTAAAAATTATCTAATTACAAAGTCCCTTCACATTTAATTATAGGAAGGAAAAAGAATAGAAGACTCATTATTATTGCTAAAAATTTATTTGATTAGTTGCTAGTTTACCAATAACATAAGACACATTCCACACATGATTTCTACTTGCATTTATGAAATCCATCTAATCAGCCCTACTTGTGACTGAATACATGCATTCTCTAACCAGTTATTATTTTTTGATGTTCTAGTTTTTTATTAAAAATTTACTTTATTGAAGTATGATTGCTATACAAATAACTGTATACCCGTCACCTCTAAAACCTCTCTCCTGTGTTCTTTATTATTATTACTGAGTGTGTGATAAGAACACTTAATATATGCTGGGGTGGTGGTTCATGCCTGTACTGCCAGCACTTTAGGAGCCTGGGTGGGAGGATGGATTGATGCCAGGAGTTTGAGACCAGCCTGGAAAACAAAGTGAGACTTCATCTCTATAAAAATATTAAAACATTAGCTGGGTGTATTGGTGGTCCCAGCTACTTGGAAGGCTGAGGTGGGAGGATCACTTAAGCCTGGGAGGTTGAGGCTGCAGTGAGTCATGATTTTGCCACTACTGCATTCCAGCCTGAGTGACAGAGCCAAACCCTGTCTTGAAAGAAAGAAAGAAAAGAAAGAAAGAAAAGAAAGAAAGAAAGAAAGAAAGAAAGAAAGAAAGAAAGAAAGAAAGAAAGAAAGAAAGAAAGGAAGGGAAAGAAAGAAAGGAGGGAGGGAAGGAGGGAGGGAGGGAAGGAGGGAGGGAGGGAGGGAGTATAAGATGTATCCCCTTAGCAAATGTTTAAATACACAGTATAGTTAACTATAGACATTATGCTCTACAGGAGATTGCTTGAATTCATTCATCTGTATAATTGACAATTTGTAACCATTAACGAATACTTCTCCCCCTCCTTCTTCCTCCTGAGCCCTGGCAACTGCCATTTTATTCTCTGCTTCTAAGAGTTTGACTATTTCAGACTTATTATATATATCATTGATATGGTTTGGCTGTGTCTCCACCCAAAGTCTCATCTTGAATTGTAATCTCCATAATCCCCACGTGTCAAAGGAGAGACCAGGTGGAGGTAATTGAATCATGGAGGAGGTTTCCTCCATGCTGTTCTCATAATAGTGATTAAGTTCTCATAAGATCTGATGGTTTTATAAGTGTTTGGTCATTGCTCCTGCATCATTTTCTCTCCTGCTACCTTGTTAAGAAAGTGACTTGTTTCCCCTTTGCTTTTCACCATGATTGTAAGTTTCCTGAGGCCTCCCTAGCCATGTGAAATTGTGAGTTGAACCTCTTACCTTTGTAAATTACCCAGTCTAGGGCAGTTCTTTATAGCAGTATGAAATTGGACTAATACAATCATGTAATATTTTTCCTTCTATATCTTCTTTCACTTAGCATAATAGCTCCAAGTTTCCTCTATGTTATCACAAATGATAGAATTTCATAATTTTTAAGGCTAAATTTTATATATATGATATGTATATTTATATATGTACCAAATTTTTAAATTCATGGACAGAAAGTTTGTTACAACATCTTGGCTACTGTGAGTAATGCTTCAGTGAACATAGGAATGCAGGTGTATCTTCGAGATTCTGACTTCAATTCCTTTGAATAAATATCTGAAGATATTTAGCAATATTTTTAGCATTGCTAAAGCATTTGGTATTTCTATTTTTAATTGTGAGAAAAATGTTTTTTTATAATGTTGTACAATTTACATTCTCAGTAACAGTATACTAGGGTTATCTTTTCTATACATCCTTGCTGACACATCTTTTATCTGTGAAAACAGCCATTCTAATAGGTAGTAAGGAGGTATCTTACTATGATTTTGATTTGCATTTAACTGATGATTAGTGATGTTGGGTACCTTTTTATAATTTTTGGCCATTTATATGACTTCTTGAGAGAAATGTCTATTAAGGATTTTGTCCACTCATGGGTACTAACAATTTTTTTATTAGACTTCTCACCATTTTCTATCTATGAGATCATGTTATGTGTAAGTAGTAATTGATAAAAGACATCATTGCATTATCTTGGCACCCTCGTCAAAGATCAGTTGTCATGGTTTATTTCTGTGCTCTCTATTCTGTTCCATTGGTCTATATGTCTGTTTTATCCAGCACCATACGGTTTTGACTACTATAGCTTTGCAACATGCTTTGAAATCAAGTAATGTGATGGCTCCATCTTTGTTCTGCTTGCTTAAAATTGCTTTGCTTATCAGGGGTCTTTAGTAGTATCAGATCAATTTAATTTATTTCAATCTTTATAAAAAATTCCATTGGGATTTTGATAGGGGTTGCATTAAATCTTTAGATTGCTTTTCGTAGTGTGTACATTTTAACAATATTAATTATTTTGATCCATGAACATGGGATGTCTTTACATTTATTTTGTTTGATTTAATTTTTTCATCAGTGTTTTATAGTTTTCAGTATACAATATAATTAAGCCTTTAGTTAAGTTTATTCCTAAGTGTGTTATTCTTTTTGATGCTATTGCAAATGACATTGTTTTATTAATTTCTGTCTCAATAACTCATTGTTAATATATAGAAATGCAACTGATTTTTGTGTGTTAATTTTGTATCCTGCAATTCTTACCTAATTCTTTTATTAGTTCTAACAGTGTTTCAAAGTGAATGTGTGTTTATGGTTTTCTACATATAAGATTATGTCAATCCTAGCACTTTGGGAGGCTGAGGCAGGCAGGTTGCCTGAGCTCAGGAGTTTGAGACCAGCCTGGGCAATATGGTGAAACCCCTGCCTCTACTAGAATACAAATATAGATAGATAGATAGATATTTATAGATATATAATATTATATATGTAATAAAAATATATATGCATTATATATAATGCATTATATATAATATATATAATTTTTATTATATATATTAAATATTATTTATATTATTTATATATAATAATATATAAATAAATAATATATATAATATATAATATATAAATTATAAATAATATTACATATAAATAAATATATTATTTATATATAATATAAAATATATTATATAAATATAATATATAAAATACAAATATATATGCATTATATATAATGCATTATATATAATATATAAATATATATAATATATAAATTTATATATAAAAATATATATAATATATAAATTTATATATAAAATATATAAATTTATATATAAAAATATATATAATATATAAATTTATATATAAAATATATATAATATATAAATTTGTATATATAAATATATACATTTATATATATAAATATATATTTATGTATATATAAATATATACATTAAAATATATATATAATGCATTATATATATATGCATTGGCCAGGCATGGTGGCATGTGCCTGTAGTCCCAGAAACTCAGGAGGCTGAGGCAGGAGAATCGCTTAAAGCCAGGAGGCAGAGGTTGCAGTGAGCGGAGATCATGCCACTGCACTCCAGCCTGGGCAACAGAGTGAGACTCCATCTCCAAAAAAAAAAAGAAAAAGAAATTTAAAAAAAGATTGTGTCATTTGCAAACAGATAATTTTACTTATTCCTTTTTGACTTGGCTATCTTTCAGTTTTTTGTCTTCCTCAATTGCTCCGACTAGTATTGAAACAGCCAGGTTGAATAGTAGTAGTGAGAGTAAGCATCCTTCTGTTGCTCTGAATCTTACAGAAAAAGCTTTCAATTTTTCACTAATTTATTCAGAGTTTTTTTTTGTCATGAAAGAATGTTGAATTTTGACAAAGACTTTTTCTACATCTATTAAGAAAATCATATTATTTGTATCCTTAATGACCTTAATGTATAGTATTACTTTGACTAATTTGTGTACGTTGTACCATACTTTTTTCAAAATTTAATGCATATGATTTATTTTAAGAAATCAAGGGTTTTTTGCCCAAATATAAGCTTAACAAGTGCAAATCCAAGAGCCTTTGAAATAAGGAAATTCGCATAAAGGCAGACAGTAAGACAGATACAAATAAAAGAAGAAATATATTAGCATTAGAGATATATTTCCAGATAATTGTCCTTTTGCTTGTTTTTTTGTTATAAAGTGACAGTTTGTATACATTTATGAGGTACAAAGCGATGTTATGATTAAGGAATACAATGTAGAATAAAATCAAGCTATTTAACATATCTATCACCTCAAATACTTAACATTATTGTGGTGGGAACATTAGCAATTTGCTCTTAGCAATTTTGAAATTTATAATACTCTATTATTAGCGATATTTACAATGCTGTGTAATAGAACTAAAAAAAAAACCCAAAAACATATTTTTCCCAATTTTCCTCATCCTGCAGACTCCATAACCACCATTCTACTCTCTGCTTCTATGGATTCAATTATTTAGATGCCACATATAATAGAGAATATGCAGTATTTTAATAAATAATGTTTCATAAAATATCCATAAATATTTAAGAAGTATTGGAACAAATTATTTTTAAAAATAAATTTGTATTAATAATAATCCATATTTTTAATAATTCCAATCTTTTAAATTTAAAGTAAAAAGTATAAATATATTCACAAGAAAAATCTAAAGATGTTTAATGACATTGTTGCAATAAGCAATTTCAAAAACAAAATCTTGCCCATGTTCTGAAATTAATTGTGCTATTGTAGTTGATACTAGCGTATAATACAATGTAGATAATACTATGTAAGAAAAATATGTCATTTATGTAAGAGTAATTTTTAAAATCCTTTCATTATTTCTACTCCATCTGGAACCAGCATACAAAATAAAAAGAAAAATATATTCCATTTTTTAATCTATGTGGATATCCTATTGATATAGCAATATTATTTGTAATGATCATTGTTTTTCCTGCTAAGGTCATGTTTAATGATCACGTAAATGTGTTTGATTCTAAACTATTTATTTCTATTAAACTATTTCTCTATTCTTCCACCAAAGAAACACTAAAAGTCCCTGCTTTAATAAAGCATATATTATAGTGGGCAAAATAAATAAAATAAACTGGATATTTTAAGAGAATAGTAAGTGTTATAAAGAAAATAATACAGGTCAAATGATAGAGAGCTGTAGGAATTGGGTACAGAAGGAGCTTTATTGAAAAGGCTGCATTAGAAAGTCTGAATACATGAAGAGGCAGTCCATAAAAATTGTGATGTGGTAGTATTCCAGAGGAAGTGAATAGCAAAATACCAGGGTTGATGCAGGAATAAGTCTGATTAGGTGGAGGCCAAAACCTGTAGAGCATTATTAGCCATGTTAAATACATTGGGTTCTATTTTTCATTTCAGGGGAAGATTTGGGAAAAATTTAAGTTTGGGGTGCGTAAAATTGTCTAAAACTTTTAAAGATTACTCTGTCACATAGAAAATTAACTATAGTAGATCAAGTGTAAAAATAGGGCAAGAAGTTTGGTGGTTATTCAGGTAGCCCAAATAATAAACACTGATGTAAATACTTAGATATTAGTACCAGAGGTGGTTAAATTCTGAAAACACTGAGAAATTAGAGATAAGGACAATCACTGATAAAATAGTGGGATAAAGGAAGAAATAAAGAAAGACTTACAGAAAATAACCCATAGAATGTAAATGAATACTGGTGCCGTTAGCTAAAAATGAGAAGACAGGAAAAGGTGTTTGGTTAGCAGGATTGGTACGGATCTTGAGTTCAAGCCTCAGTAATTCTTTGTTGGATTGTTTCTATTTCTTCTCTCCTAGTGTATAACACATTCTTACAAGTTTGCCAATGTATAATTTATATACATGTGGGTAAAATGTACCACTTGACAAGTTTTGAGATATATAAGTATAGATCTCCATCTTATATATTTATATTTTCATGAAAACATCACCAAAATTAATATAAAAATATACCCATTAGCTGCTCATTCTCATATCCATTTGTAATCTCTCACTCTTTTCCAGCCCTCTCTCATGCCCAAGAAACCAAGCACTGCTCTGCTTTCTGTCAAAATAAGGTTGAATTGTGTTTTCTGAAAACACGTATAAATAGAATCATACCATTTGTTCTCTTGGCTGACTGAATTTTTTCACTCAGAATAAATATTTTAACATACATCCATATTGTATAAAATCAACAAAATCAAATCAAATATATTTCTAATAGATAAAAGGCATTTCTTTGCAGGTATATACCACAATTGAAATATCAATTGAAATAAAAATAAATGTAAAGAGATTGAATGATGTAGTTAAATAAAGTTTGTGCTAAAACAATATTGAGACAGCCAAAGTATTTTCTGGACTCATATTTAATACTTAGGACAATGTTGGTGAAGAATAAAGTAGAGCTTGTCTTAATTACCAGAATTTTTTAGAAAAACATAGACTTACATGGAAATTTCTTAAAAGTCTATATTCAAAAACAAACAAACAAACAAACAACCCCCTGAAAACACAGTCTGTTTTTTATACAACACAGAGCTGATCAGAAATGGAAGATACACACATGGGAATATTTACCCTTAGAAGAAAATAATCATATACTAGTTAAGGAACAACATCTGCTCAGCTAGCTGCTGCTGATAAGTTGTGTCACCCAGGAGGGAAGGAAAACCTCAGGGAAAACAAGCAGCAGGGATGTGGTGCAAGTCAAATTAGCAAAGCAGTTCCTTTAGAATAACAAGGATTTGCAGCTTCCGAGTCTAAATAGTCTAGGGAAATTAAGGTGTTTTCCCTAAGGTGAAAAACAAAAATCTGGCTATATTTTACTGAGGACCATGGCTCAAATACCTTATTGAAACTCTGCATTATGAACCAATGATTGCTAGGACCCAGATTTTTTGGATATTCTTAGGAAAATTTTATGTTTCCTTCAACAGTCCTATTCCTCAAAATTAAAATTCACCATGCCAACTTGCATGCCTGAAATTAACAGTTAATTCTAAAATTAAATTTGTATCAGTACTTCTTTTATTTCCTTTGGGGTTATTAGAATTAAACATGCCAAAATCATGCCATTGCTTTCATACATTTGCTCCAAGGGATAAACGCAACTGTCTTTGCTTTCCAAAGACTCTAATTTAGTTGCCAATAAATAAGTACATCCATAAAATAATTTAAAATTTTTATTATGACCAGTGTACACATACATATAAAACTGAATGAGTGATTAGAGTAATAACATAAAAGTCACAATCTATTACTAACTGCATACTTTTCATAAAGCCAAAATTGTACTGAATTTCGTTTTCATTTGCATACTTTTCAAAAATAATTTTGCCACATGGCACAATGTTTTCATTTTTCAGAATTTCATGCTTCACAATTTTACAATTTTTTCAGTTTAGACGCAACTGACATCTTGATGATGAATTCAGCTATACAGCGTAAGTCACTATTGTTTGCATAATTGAATGTTAAGTAATTATTTTATTAATAAAATAATTTCAATGTGCTCATATGGAAACAACCTTTATATTACTAATTTAAGAGGCTTATTTTAAAAAACTAAATGCTTCTGTGTTAACTTGTTTACTTTCTTATTTCCTATTATTTCAACTCCCTATATTTCTGATTACCTTCTTTGAAACCTATACCCAAACTTTCAGGACTGCATATATATCTTTTCAATACATACATTATATATTTTACATATATATATGTAAAAGAAACATATTTGATTTTAGAACAGTCTGAAATATACTGAATCCCATATCTAATTTATTGCTTCTTTTTAGTGGAAAAGTGTCTTTTAATCATTTAGGAGAAGCAACATTCTTACAGCCAATCACAAACACACACACAAAAATCTTTTTTTCCTTCAGAAAATTGAAGTGCATTCAAGTGATGGTTGTTATACTTTTTAATTTGCTAAAGATAGGGATTTTATAAAATTCCATGTGTGCTTATTAACTATCGTCTTTTAGCTTCAAAGCCATCTTTCTATAAGTGATTTGTCATGCTGGGGCTGGGACTAGGAAATCACATTTTCCCTTGCCAGTTGCTCCCTGTTATATCCTCTCTGTGGTAGGTGGAGTGTGGGGGCGGTGTTAGGAAAGGAGCGTGTTGGGCTTGAGGAAGGAAAACAGGGCTCTTTCTTTTTGTTTGTTGTCTGTTCCTGAAAGCTTTACAGAGCAATAATTGACACAAAGGCAGTGGGTATCCGTTTTAGTAACCGTAACAACAATTTGTTACAATTTCCAGTTATTTTCTTTTTTTTTTCAGACTCCCTAAACCAGCCTCATTGTGTGCCCTTAAGATACCACATCAGCCAAGCTCTAACCACTCCTCAGAAATCCACGCTCAATTTCCAGTCGGTTTCTCCTCCAGCCTACTGAGAGGTGACAATGTGCTAGCAGCCCTTGCTTGCTCTCCTCACCTCCTTGGCCTCGGCGTCCACTCTAGCCATGCTTGAGGAGCCCTTCAGCCCACCACTGCACTGGGGGAGCCCCTCTCTGGGCTGGCCAAGGCCGGAGCTGGCTCCCTCTGCTTGTGGGGAGGTGGGGAGGGAGAGGCATGGGTGGGAGCCAGGGCCACGTGTGGCCTCGCAGGCCAGGGGGAGTTCCAGGTGGGCGCAGGCACGGTGGGCCCTCTGCACTCAGAGTGCCCAGCCAGTGCCACCAGCCCCGGGCAGTGAGGGGCTTAGCACCCGGGTCAGCAGCTGCGAAGGGTGGGCCGGGTACCCCAGCACTGCTGGCCGGCCCGTGCTGTGCTCGAATTCTTGCTGGGCCTCAGCCACCTCCCTGCGAGGCAGGGCTCGGGACCTGCAGCCCACCATGCCCGAACCACCCCCTGCCCCGTGGGCTCCCACGCGGCTGGAGCCTCCCGGACAGGCACCGCCCTCTGCTCCACAGCGCCTGGTCCCATCAACCACCCAAGGGCTGAGGAGTGCAGGCACATGGCGTGGGACTGGTGGGCAGCTCTGCCTGGGGCCCAGAACCTCGTGGGATCCACGAGGCGAAGCCAGCTGGGATC
Organism: Homo sapiens; assembly: GCF_000001405.40. NCBI lineage: Eukaryota > Metazoa > Chordata > Mammalia > Primates > Hominidae > Homo > Homo sapiens. The sequence goes on from NC_000011.10 coordinate 97,667,549, forward strand.
CTGAGTTGGGTGGGGTCGTGGAGAACTTTTATGTCTAACTACAGGATTGTAAATGCACCAGTCAGCACCCTGTGTCTAGCTCAAGGTTTGTAAACGCACCAATCAGTGCTCTGTGTCTAGCCAATCAAGTGGGGACTTGGAGAACTTTTGTGTCTAGCTAAAGGATTGTAAATGCACCAATCAGCACTCTGTGTCTAGCTCAAGGTTTGTAAACACACCAATCAGCACCCTGTCAAAATGGGCCAATCAGCTCCTTGTAAAATGGACCAATCAGCAGGATGTGGGTGAGGTCAGATAAGGGAATAAAAGAAGGCTGCCCAAGCCAGCCGCGGCAACCCATTTAGATCCCCTTCCACACTGTGGAAGCTTTGTTCTTTTGCTCTTTGCAATAAATTTTGCTGCTGCTCACTGTTTGGGTCTGCCCCGCCTTTATGAGCTGTAACACTCACCACGAAGGTCTGCAGCTTCACTCCTGAAGCCGGAGACCACGAACCCACCGGGAAGAACAAACAACTCCAGACTTGCCGCCTTTAAGAGCTGTAACACTCACCGTGAAGGTCTGCGGCTTCACTCCTGAAGCCAGAGAGACCACGAACCCACAAGAAGGAAGAAACTCTGGACACATCTAAAACATCTGAAGGAACAAACTCCAGACACACCATCTTTAAGAATTGTGACACTCACCACAAGGGTCCGCGGCTTTATTCTTGAAGTCAGGGAGACCAAGGACCCACCAATTCTGGACACACTACTAAGGTATTTGTCCAGCCAGTGCGGACCCATTCTTCGGAGACTGGGTCTCAGCTCTGCCCCAAGATTTTTTGTTTCCTCAGTTCTGGGGATGGCAATTGTTTTATAAGATTACCACCTCTGTGATACCTCAGTGCCCTAGTTTTGCCTGTTTAATGCATGTGAAGACAGTTTCTTATGTATTAAAATACCTGATGTGGTTTTTATTTTCTGGAGTAACCTTAAGTGAAACACCATGACTAAAGTCTCCTAAGAATGACCTTCATAAATTAAGATATTTTGTCTTTCACAGTAAACATGCTTCCGGTAAGTTTGCCTTTATTTTACTGTAGCCATCAATAAAAACATTATTGTGGTGGTTCCTGTTCAAATCCCAGTTTCTCTGTCCCTTTACATTATGAAATATATTAGATGAAAAATAACGAAGTTTTGTTTGTGGTTTTGGGACTGTATCATAGAAAGGATGATTTTCCCCCTTAATTCTTAAAACAGCACAATGCATAAAGATTATAAAATATTATAATCTGTATCTAAACACTGACTTAAGCTGACAGTATTTTAAATCCAGTATTTTGTTTTGAATCCCGTTATTTTAAACCAGATTTTAGAGTTTAGTTTCTTCAAGCCAAATAAAACAAAACACATTCTTATTCTCTCCACTCCTATGTATCTTGTGCATAAATCTATGGTGCATTTTAGACGGAGAGGATGTGCTGCTTTACATTCTTCCCACTCCATACATGTTAAACTAAAAGGCCCAGAAAGGATATCATTGAGTGAAAAGAAAATATTGAAAAGGCCAGAAACATCAGAATTTTTCTAATACTAGAATACATTAAAGGGAGAAAAGAAAAGAAATAAATTTAAAAAATAAATTTAAAGGGATGATACAAAACTTAAAAAGTGCTATTGTCTAAAAAATATGAGTGCATGAGTAATACATCTCAGTGCATCCTAAGGATATAGCAATATTGTCTGAAATAATAAGGGAATTCATATATCTTTTGGAATGTACACAAACACATACGAATATACATCTGTTTAACATTGTCTGAATAAGATGAATAATGGCATAGCCCATGACCCAGCTCTTCCACTCTTGGGGTTTGTTTTATCTTACAAAATTTCATGCCCTAATACCCATGTAAAACAGGCATGGAACAGCACTTAGGATAGCCTCAAAATGAAAACAACCCACATATTCATCAGCAGTGGAAGGGATAAATTGTGATGTATTAGTAGTATTAAATACTATTCAAGAAGCCACAAAAGAGAACATACAGTATAATTTTATTTATGTAAATTATCAAAACCTGATAAAACCAAACTACATTGTTTTACTCAAAAAAAAATGGAGTATACACAATCTTTTCCAAGTCAGAGAATTATAATTGTTCTTTACCATGTTTATGGGTGTTTTGTTTTGTTTGGAGATGGAGTCTCACTCTGTCACCAAGGCTGGAGTGCAATTGCACAATCTCGGCTCACCGCAACCTCTGCCTCCCGGGTTCAAGCGATTCTCCTGCCTCAGCTTCCAAAGTAGCTGGGACTACAGTTGTGTGCCACCACACCCAGCTGATTTTTGTATTTTTAGTAGAGACATGGTATCACTATGTTGGCCAGATTGGTCTGGAACTCCTGACCTCAAGTGATCTGCTGGCCTTGGCTTCCCAAACTGCTGGAATTACAGGCATGAGCCACCATGCCCCATCTACTTATGTTTTATATGCTATTTCACATATATGTTACTTTTCAAAATAGTAATTTATATAAAACTAATTTTATTTTTCAAACTTAATTGCAATATTCTAGAACATTTTTAATTTCAAGTTACTTTTTAAAGGCTTCTTTTCATTTTTGTTTTCATTTTTATTTTTCAACTTCATTGAGATAGTATTTATATACAACTAAATGCACACATTTTAACTTTACAGTTTCATGAGTGACGGCAACTACATACAACATTGTCAACTTGTAATTACTACCTCTACCTAGGAGTAGATAGTTCCATCACACCATATAGCGCTCTTTTGCCTTTTTGCAATTATGCCTACATACATGCACACACACAGTCCCAGGTAATCACTGATCTAGGTTCTGTCAACAGAGGTTAATAAAAATGGAGTCCTGCAGTACTACAGTACACATACTTTTATTCCTGGCTTCTTCAGCATGTTTTTGAGATCCATCTATGCTTTTAAGTGTATCAGTAGTTTATATTGCTGAGTAATTGATTATTTTATATAGGGCAAACGGATAAAACGTTTGTGATATATAGATTTTTGGGTTACTTTCAGCATGAATTGTTAACATTTGTGTAAAATTTCTTATTTCTCTTGGATATTACTTAGGAGTGGAATTGCTGAGTCACACAGAAAGTATAGATTTTTTTGAAAAAGAGTCACGCTATTTTCCAAAGTGATTTTATCATTGTACACTCTCATGAAAATGCATGCAGGTTCTAACAATGATACATACTGTGCAGTGCTTAGTATTTTTTTTATTATGGAGATGGAGTGTAAGGGTTTTTTTGTATCTACTGCACAAAGGCACTTTGTCATACATACGTGCAAATATTTTATCCCAATTAATGACTTTTTAAATTGTTTCAAAAGAGTTTTTAGAGTGTAAGTTTTTAATTTTCATCAAGTCCACTCTATCAATTTTTTATGTTGTGCCCTAATGATTTTTTGCTGAAACATGTCAGGAAGATTTTCTATTAACATTTTGTCAGATTATATATATATATATATATATATATATATATATATATATATATACACACACATATATACGTATATATATGTATATATAGTTTTTTTTCCCCACAGTATGAAGTCTCAAAGGCCACTGTAACCCCAATATTGCTAAGGTCAATAGGTCCAAATAAAATGGCCTAGAACATTAATTGGAACGGAGGTCACTATTCCTTTTTTTTTCTTTTTTTTTTTTTTTTTTGAGACGGAGTCTCGCTCTGTCTCCCAGGCTGGAGTGCAGTGGCGCAATCTCGGCTCACTGCAAGCTCCCCCTCCAGGGTTTACACCATTCTCCTGCCTCAGCCTCCCAAGTAGCTGGGACTATAGGCGCCCGCCACCTCGCCCGGCTGGTTTTTCGTATTTTTTAGTAGAGACGGGGTTTCACCGTGTTAGCCAGGATGGTCTCGATCTGCTGACCTGGTGATCCACCCGTCTTGGCCTCCCAAAGTGCTGGAATTACAGGCTTGAGCCACCGCGCCCGGCCCACTATTCCTTTATGAATACTATCTCAGAATTAGGAAGCCATGAGAATAAGTCATTTAAAGTTTTCGGTTTATAATTATTCATGTTATAATAATTACCATGTGTCCGGCAGTGTTCTATGTGCCTTACAAATATTTCTTATAAAATCCTGATAATCATTGTATAAGAAAGTGATTTACTAATTTTACAAAGGGGCAAAGTAAAGCCCATAAATCTTTCATAAAGTCATTGACTCATACATGGTGCCAGAATCCTAGAAGGCAGATTCCAGAGCATATTCTCTGAACCACTATACATGTTTTAACATACTTCCGGTAATGGAGTATTTTCCACAGTTTCTTTGTCAAGCGCATCTCTTCTTATTTAACTTAACATAGTTTAACATCCTACACCTTGGTTAGTCCTGAGTATGAATCCTATAAAATTAGGGCCCTGTTTATGGAAGACAATATTTTTTTCTGATTGATTTTTGTTTGTTGACTTTTTCCATTTTCCATTTAAGTAGGAATTCATTGTCATTCAACTTACCCATGAAAGTCAAATAAAAATTAATGATATTCTTCTAAACACAAAGGCTAAAATTTAGCAATAAGTCACAAAATAAAAAGAGAAAGAAAAAATCAATACAACATAACAAAAAAACCGAATCACAATAACACAATATGTTCTGACAATTCCTAATTGGCTTTTGTATAGGTAAAGAAAAGAAGGGGAATGTAATTAGTTCCATAAGGTTTTGTATTTATGTGGAAGTATAAGAATTTTTTCTTTTGTTCAATGTTCAAATGAAATGGCAGATGGTCCATTGGACTGCTTTTGAATTCACCAAATACAAATTATGTACAATGAAGTTTTTTCAGAGGTTGAGATTCTTCAAAAAGCAGATATGTGAGACTAAAATATAGATTATTACTGCTAATGTAAAACTATTTTAAACTTTGAACTGATGTTGCTTGAAAATACAGGATTACATTTCTCTTTTCCATAACAGTTGTCACAGACTCTATAGGCCATTTAATTAATCATAATCAAAATGATATGATTTTTCTTGGTAATATATGAAATATGATGTCATTTTAGAATTTTAGAATCCTTAGAAATTAAACAATTTGGTAACTTTCTTATGAGTTCTATATTAAATACATTAATTGTCTAATTCCAAATCACTACACAACAGCATGACACATGGGCAGATGAACTCGGGCAGTTTGAATAATAGTCACTCCGTTTAAACTTCATGTGTTGAGGTGGCTGAAACTTTATGGTTAGATTGGCTTAGTCTATCTTTCAAAGAATGAAATTGATGTGAGGCAGATTCCTATGAAAAAGCCATTTCGTTTTACCTGGCCTCCACCCCACACCCACTGTCAACCTCCAGTACTTCCCCAGCACCCTACCTTGAAAGGTAACCTTTATCTAAGGGATTACATCCGTAGATTATTATCTAAATTATAAAGATATTTCTAGGATTTGATTAATAAATGATTAATTTTAATGAGATAAAGTTGCTGCTACCTAACTAAATTCTTCAACAAGAGCTCACACACTCAAACTATTTTTCCTTAATCAAATTTACTGAGCCTATGGCTATTTCACTGTCATACACATACACACACACACACACACACACACACACACACACACGCAGCAACACATTTTTCACAATTTTTCAAAATTCCTATAATTGCCAGTGATTAAAGCTGCTAAAATAAAATACGTGACTAGAAAGCATCCTTTTTTTTAAGTAGTCTTCAAAATGTATTGGGTATTCCTTCTTAGTGAGACAACTGGTCATTCTGGGAGCATAGAATTTTACCTCAAGTATTCCTTCATTGTACTTAAAGCACTGAATAAAATTTAGATTTGTGTGTCATCATACTTCATTAATATATCAAATAGGATAGAAATTATTAAAATCAGTTGATGATTTATGGATAAATACATAAAGGGAATTTGATATTTCAACTAACTTTGGAGGAAGACTTAAAACCTGCACATTACCCTCCTGATAGGTCTAGAAATCTTAGATTTAAACTCTTGACTTTTTCTTGTTGTATAGATCACTACATCAAAACTAACATTGCTTATCATTTGAGCAGGTTTCCTGTGTTCAATTCCCAAACATAAATTTTTTTATTATCTTCTAGTAGTCAGAAGTGACACACGGCCAACTCAAAATAGTTTGGGGAAAAAAGGAACTGCATTGGCTGAAAGAATCGAAAGAGTGATTGAAAACCAACGGTAGGAAGTATGGTTATTCAACACAACTTCAGGAATAATTGAAAGCAGGTACCTACATCCAATAGAATAGGAAGATCTGTTTTCTATCTCCTTTTCTGTCCAAATTGGCTTTATTGTTTTGTTCTCTTTATGTGGACTGAGTTTCTCTACTAGGCAGAAAAGTTGGTTTCCTACAGTTCAGATCTTCTTCTCATATACATACATATATATGAAACACTTTCTCCACTAAAAGCGGATAATCATTGGTATCAGTTTGACAGTGCTGCAAGTCCTGGCAAAGAAACTCAGGCATAACATGAATTAGGTGCCCTGCCTGAAATTTGATATGGGTTGAAGGAATAAATAATAATACCAAAAATATATTTGATTCTCACAAAAAAATTATTACTTGTGAACTACCAGTATCTAAATTTTACAGATATTTAATCGATTTAGAAATATTAAATAACTTCCTCTAATCACAAACATCACCCTTAGTGGATTCAGGGTAACTCAACAGCAGTATTTGTGGAGATATTTGAAGGGCAAGGAATGTGATGTCTATTATCTCAGTAAAAGGGAAAGATTTTAGATAGACGTTAATATAAATGTTCATTAAGGTCGTTCCTAGAGCTCTGGAATATCTTGTGAATTTTTACACACCTGGACAATTAGATGGGGGAACAGAGGAGGTAAAAGGGGCAAACTCATTTTACACTTTAAAAAAAGAGGACACAAATTGAATTATCCAAATTGACCAACTATGCCATTTGCTTTATTGTAATAATTAAATAATTATTTATCTATAATATACCACAGTCCATAAAAAGATCACGTTGTTATTCAATATATGGATTAAAAAACTGAAATTTTCCTCCCAGGTGGAAAAAACAATCAAGGAAACTTAGGAGGCAATTTTTAGCATGCATATGCGTGCACACACACAAAATGAATTAAAAATTTATTCAGTTGGCCCAGGGCAGTGGCTCATGCCTGTAATCCCAGCACTTTGGGAGGCCGAGATGGGCAGATCACGAGGTCAGGAGTTTGAGACCAGCCTGGCCGACATGGTGAAACCCCATCTCTACTAATAATACAAAAATTAGCTGGGCATGGTGGCACATGCCTGTTATCCCAGCTACTCAGGAGGCTGAGGCAGGAGAATTGCTTGAACCTGGGAGGCGGCGGTTGCGGTGAGCCGAGATCGCACCATTGCACTCCACAGTGGGCAACAAGAGCGAAACTCCGTCTAAAAAAAAAGAAAAATTTACTCAGTTACATTAGCAAAGGCATGCCAGTTATGGATCAATAAAAATTGTAAGTTTTGTCTGCTCTCAGTCGCTTAATTAAGAAATTCAGGCAGTCAGATGGTTTGTAGAAAGAAGCTTAACTCTTCTGTCATATGAGAATGTGCTCTGAGACAAAAGCTAGTGCAAGGTGACTGTTAGGGAATGGCCGTCTCACAAGTTCAACACAGAAAAAGCATGGTAGCCACAGTTCAAATTCTATTTTGTGCTTGGATTTCAAGAGAGTGCATACAGTAGAGGAAGACTTCCTTAAGCCAAATATCATTTAATGACATTGAACCAAAGCAAAGAAAGTTAAAGGTATGGGTTTAACAGGAATATTTTATTATGATTTACTAAACATTAAAAAACTGATTGTAATGACAAAACAATTTTGTATTCTCATCCTTAGTGTTCATGACTTTTAGCTTGTTTTAAAAAATTGGTCTTTAATGTAATGTAAAAAAAGGCAAATTATTTGTTAGGTTGAAATTTGGTAGATACCAGTAGTTAAATTTTTCTCAATAATACAAGTTTTTTTTTATAATTTTATTATTTATTAGTAAAATTTAAAATAGGTTGTCATCTTTGTCCATTTTGTGCTGCTATTGCAAAATACTTGAGACTGGACAAAATTTTTTTTCTTTTTTTTTTTTTTCGAGACTGAGTTTCGCTCTTGTTGCCCAGGTTGGAGTGGAGTGGTGCGATCTCATCTGGGTAATGTTTAAAAAGCCCAAAATTTATTTCTCAGAGTTCTGGAGGCTAGGGAGTCCAAGATCAAGGTGATGGCATCTGGTTTAGCGACAGCCTTCATGCTGCATCCTAACATGGCAGAAGGTGGAAGGGCAAGTTAGCCAAATGCTCGCCAAAGCTTCTTTCACAAGGCCCTTAATCCCATGGGTGAGAGCCTATCCCTCCTGGCCTAATCACCTCTTAAAGGCATCACCTTTTAATACCATCACGTTGGCAGTACCTGGAGCTTTGAGGGGATAAATTCAGACCTTAGCATCTGCCTTCGGTATGCATTTTGTAACAACATTTTTTTCAATGCTCTTTTGAATTTCATTATTATTATTACAGGGAAGATCTGAAGATAACTGAAGGCAGAAGAGAGATTTTAATCTGTTCGTGGATCAGTAACAGGCTAGACCAAGATTCCTATGTAATGAGCCATGTGTTCATGTCACCGTTCCTTCTGTTTCCTTAAATAACAGAGAATCATTGAATTTAAAATGCACCATCTTACTGACATTTCTGTCTTTTGTCTATGTCTATCAGAAAATGTGTAATTGCACCTTGTGAGTTTGTGTGAAGGTTACAGTGGACTTCTGTATGAAGAGAAAATAACTTTAACAATAAGGTGTCCTGTACTGTATACTGTATTCTCTTTATATATATATATATATTACTCTCAAAGTCAACTGCATTTCATCTTAACACAAGCATACAGGTTTCAAATAAGGAATACATAATATGACTTCAAAGGAATTGCAGTAAGCCTAGCAGAATGTCAGATATATATGCATATAAGAAGCAGAAGATATAATTTTAAGAACTCGAGAAGAATAAAATTAATTCTATTCCAAATTGTTTTCTACTGCTTCTTTGGCATTTCCTTTCTTGGTATTTGAGATTTTATTTAAGAGTGTATTTTATGGTTATCAATACAAATGTCACTGTCTAATAATATCTTAGGAAAAAATGACACTTTTCATGTATATGGAACTTTATGTTTCACAAGACCTTTTTTCATGTATTACTTGTGTAAATTACCAAATTAACTTTTAAATACACTCTATTAAATTTATTTATAGGAAAAGGAACTAAATCTTATAATATTTAGCCACATTATTAAGTACTGTATTTTATAAGTTGCAGTGTCCCGAACAAATATTTGTTTGTCCTTGAAGTAAGAAGCCATGTGCTAAGATCTAAAGTGCAATGCTCATTAATATTAATATTGAATGCATAAATAAAGGAATAAGTGAAAGAGTCTGGGACAAGAAACCATCTCTTTTGACTTTAAAGGCAATGTTAACATTCACAAGTTATTTATTATATAATATTTTACTTTATCAGGCCACCTTTGGTATGATCACTGGACAAGATCATAGTCAACAGCTGGTATCTGAATAATCACATTGCAAATTTGAAGCTCCAGTGTTCTACAGAGTTTATTTGGGGGACAAATAGGACTGAAAAGAGTTATTTTGCTTATATAGCCTCAACATTGATTTCAGTTTCCTGTGACTTTTTATTTCACAAATAATCCAGAAAAGAAGTAATTTAAGAAACAGATTTATTTATTTTTTGTGGGGGATGGAGGTATAATAGGTTTATTAGTTTTAAGGAGTGGCAGGCAAGAAAACTAGTTTCTAGTTCGGTATATGATATTATAACTTCTGTGGGTACATAATAGGTATAGATATTTATGGGCTATATTAGGCATGCAATGCATAATAATCACATCATGAAAAATGGGGTATCCATCCTCTCAAGCATTTATCTTTTGTGTTACAAATAATTTAATTACACTCCTTAACTTATTTTAAAATGTACAGTTAAATTATTATTGAATATAGTTACCCAGTTGTGCTATCAAATATTAGGCCTTATTTACACATTATATATTTTTTGTACCCATTAACCATCCACATCCCCTCAACCCACCATCCACTACCTTTTCCAGCCTTTGTTAACCATCCTTCTACTCTTTATGTCCATGAGTTCAATTGTTTTGATTTGTAGATCCTACAAATAAATGATATGCAATGTTTTTCTTTCTGTGCCTGGTTTACTTCACTTAACATAATGAATGACCTCCAGTTCCATCCATGCTATTGCAAAAGTGTGAATCTCATTTATTTAGTGGCTGGAAAGCACTTTATTTTGTGCAAGTACCACATTTTCTTTATCCATTCAGCTGTTGATGGACACTTCGGTTGCTTCCAAATCTTGGCTATTGTGAGCAGAACTGCAAAAAACATGGCAGTGCAGATATCTTAAATATACTGATTTCATTTCTTTTGAGTATATACCCAGCAGTGAGATTGCTGGATCATATGGAAGCTCTATTTTTAGTTTTTTGAGAAACCTCCAAACTATTTTCCATAGTGGTTGTACTAATTCACATTCCCAACAAAATATATGAGGTTTCCTTTTCTTCACATCCTTGCCAGCATTTGTTATTGCCTGTCATTTGGATAAAAGCCATTTTAACTGGCGTAAGATGATATCTCCCAGTAGTTTTGATTTGCATTTCTCTGATGATCAGTGATGTTGCGCACCTTTTCATATGCCTGTTTGCCATTTTATGTCTTATTTTGAGAAATGCGTATTCAGATTTTTTGCTCTTTTTTTGACTGGGTTATGACCCTTCTTTTCCTGTAGAGTTCTTTGAGTTCCTTACACATTCTGGTTATTAATCTCTTGTCTGATGGGTAGTTTGCAAATATTTTCTCCCATTCAATGGGTTCTCTCTTCACTTTGTCGATGGTATATTTTGCTGTGCAGAAGCTTGTTAACTTGATGAGATCCCATTTCTCCATTATTGTTTTGGTTGCCTGTACTTGTGCGGTGTTACTCAAGAAATTTTTGCCCAGACCAATGTCCTGGAAAATGTTTCCAATGTCTTCTTGTAGTAGTTTCATAGTTTGATGTCTTAGATTAATGTCTTTAATCCATTCTAATTTGAATTTTATATCTGGTGAGATATAGGGGTCTAGTTTAATTCTTCTGTACATGGATATACAGTTTTCCTAGCACCATTTATTGAAGAGAATGTCTTCCCCAGTGTCTTTTCTTGGCACCTTTGTTGAAACTGAGTTCATCACAGGTGTGTGGACTTGTTTTGGGGTTCTCTATTCTATTCTATTGATCTGTGTGTCTGTTTTTATGCCACTACCTTGCTGTTTTGTTTATTATAGCTCTGTAGTATAATCTGAAGTCAGGTAAAGTGATTCCTCCAGATTTATTCTTTTTGCTTGGGACAGCTTTGGCTATTGTTGGTCTTTTGTGATTCCATATAAATTTTAGGGTTTTTTCTATTTATGTGAAAAATGTCATTGGTTTTTACATAGGGATTGCATTGAATCTGTAGATTGCTTTGCATAGTATAGACATTTAGCAATATTGATTTTTCCAACCCATGAACATGGAATATTTTTTCCATAGATATTTAATTCATTTGTGGCTATTATAAATGGAATTACACTTAAATTTCTTTTTAGATTTTTCACTATTGGTATATAAATGCTCCTATTTTTTTCTATATATATTTTGTACCCTGCAAAATATACTCAATTGGTTTATCAGTTCTAATAGTTTTTTGATGGAGTCTCTAGGTTTTTCCAAATATAAGATCATACAATCTGGAACAAAAATGATAATTTTACTTTTTTATTTCCAGTTTTAACAGGTGATAACAATATATGTCTTATAACCTATTATTTTATGCTGAGAACAACAACATTGTTTGCATAAACAAACAAGTAACAAGGAAACTAACAAAGACTATGCCTTAAATTTATTCCCCTGCTTTTTAACTTTTTGTTCTTAATTTCTCCTGTCTAATTGCTCTAGCTAAGACTTCCAGTACTACGTTGTATAACAGTGGTGAAAGCAGGCATCCCTGTCATGTTCCAGATCTTAGAGGAAAGGCATTCACGTTTTCCTCATTCAGTATGATACTGGCTGTGGGTCTGTTATATATGGCTTTCATTATTTTGAAATATGTTCCTTCTACCCCCAGTTTTCAGGGCTTTTATCAAGAAGCGATGTTGAATTTTATCAAATGGTTTCTCAGCATCAATTTAAATGATCATATGATTTTTATCCTTCATTCTGTTGATATGATGGGTCACATTGATTAATTGGCATATTTTGCACCATGCTAACATTCCTGGGATAAATCTCACTTGGTCATAATGAATGATCTTTTTAATGTATTGTTGTATTTGATTTATAAGTATTTTGTTGAGGACTTTTGCATCTATGTTCATCAGAGATATTAGCCTATAGTTTTCTTTTTTTAAGGTGTCTTTCTCTGGTTTTGGTGACAGGGTAAAACTGGCCTCATAGAATGAGTATGGAAATATTCCTTCTTCCTCTATTTTTCAGAATAGTTTCAGAATGGCAGGATTGAGTAGGAAGAACTAAACCAAACATTTAGTTCTTCTTTAAATGTTTGGTAGAATTGAGCTGTGAAGCCATCAGGTCCTAGGCTTTTCTTTACTTTGAGACTTTTTATTAAGGCTTTGATCTCATCACTTGTTATTGGTCTCTTCAGGTTTTGGATTTTTTTGTGGTTTAATCTTGGTAGGTTGTATGAATTTGTCCATTTCTCCTAAATTTTCTAATTTATTAACATATAGTTGCTCATAGTAGCCACTAATGATCCTTTGGTTTACTGTGCTATCAGGTGTAATGTCTCCTTTTTCATCTCTGTATTTATTTGGATTTTCCCTCTTTTTTCTGATAACTGTCTGGCTAAAGGTTTGTCAATTTTGTTTCACTTTTCAAAAAGCCAGCTTTTTGTTTCAATGATCTTTTGTTTTGTTTTCCTCATTTCAATTTCATTTTTATCTGCTCTGATATTTATTATTTCTTTTCTTCTACTAATTTTCGGTTTGGTTTGCTCTTTCAAATTTTTAAGATTCATTGTTGGGTTGTTTATTGAAATTTTCTTCTTTTCTGATGTAGGTACTTATAACTGCTTATAGCTATAAACATCCCTCTTAGTATTGCTTTTGCTGTGTACCATAGGTTTTAGTATGTTGCTTTCAATATCATTTGTTTCAAGAAATTTCTTCTTAATTTCTTCATTCACACACTGTTCATTCAGGGGCATATTGTTTAATTTTCATGTATTTGTGTAGTCTCCAAAATTTCTCTTGTTATCTAGTTCTAGTTCTATTCCATTGTGGTCAGAGAATATAATTGATATTATTTCAATTTTTTAAAATTATTTAAGACTTGTGTTGTGGCCTAACATATGGTATATATCCTAGAGCATGATCCATGTGCTGAGGAAAAGAATGTGTATTCTGCAGCTATTGGATGAAATGTTCTGTAAATATCTATAAGATTTATTTGATCCATAGTGCAGATTAAATCAGATATTCCTTTGTTGATTTTCTGTCTGGAATATCTGTCTAATGCTGAAAGTAGGGTGTTGAAATCTCCAACTATTATTGTATTGGAGTCAAGCTCACTCTTTAAAATAATATTTGCTTTATATATTTGGGTGCTTCAGTGTTTGGGGCATATATCTTTATAATTCTAATTTTCTCTTGCTGAATTTACCCCTTTATTATTATATAATAATATCCTTTGTCTCTTTTTTTTTTTTTTTTTTTGAGATGGAGTCTTGCTCTGTCACCCAGGCTGGAGTACAATGGCGTGATCTCGGTTCACTGCAACCTCCATCTCCCAGGTTCAAGTGATTCTCCTGCCTCAGCCTCCTGAGTAGCTGGGATTACAGGTGCCCGCCACCATACCTGGCTAATTTTTGTACTTTTTGTAGAGATGGGGTTTCACCATGTTGGTCAGGCTGGTCTCAAACTCCTGACTCATGATCTGCCTGCCTCAGCCTCCCAAAGTGTTGGGATTACAGGCTTGAGCCACCATGCCAGCCTCTTTGTCTTTTTACAGTTTTTGTTTTAAAAATTATTTTGTCTGATATAAATATAACTACTCCTGCTCTTTTTTGGTTTTCATTGGCATGGAATATCTTTTTCCATCCTATATTTTCAGTCTATGTGTGTCTTTATAGGTGAAGTGTGTTTCTTGTAGGCAACAGATGAATGGGTCTTGTTTTGTTTTGTTTTGTTTTAATTTATTCAGCCACTCTATCACTTTCAGTTGGAAAGTTTATTCCATTGACATTCAGTGTTATTACTGGTAAGTAAGGGCTTACTCCTGCCATTTTGTTATTTGTTTTCTGGTTGTTTTGTGTTCTTCTCTTCCTTCTTTCTTTCCTTCCTGTCTTCCTTTAGTGAAGGTGAGTTTCTCTGTTGAAATTATTTAGTTTCTCGGTTTTTATTTTTTTGTGTTTCTATTGTATGTTTCTTGGTGAGAAGTTACCATGAGGCTTGCAAATACTTTCTTATAACCTAATGACACTGTTTGCATAAACCAACAAATGACCAAGAAGAAAACTAATGAAGACTTTATACCTTAAATTCATTCACCCACTTTTTAACTCTGTTTTTACTATTTATATCTTATTATAATATGTCTAGAAAATATGTTGTAATTATTATTTTTGATTGGATCATTTATCCTTTCTACTTACAATAAGTATAGTTAACACATCACTGTTACAGTGTTATAATATTCTGTGTTTTCCTGTGTACTTACTAATACCAGTGAGTCTTGTACCTTCTAATGATTTCTTACTGCTCATTAACATCTTTTTCTTTCTGACTGAAGTACTCTCTTTAGCATTTTTTGAAGGACAGGTCTGGTGTTGATGGAATCGGCTTTCATCTGGGAAACTTTAATTCTTTTTCATGTTCGAAGAATAATTTTACTACATACACTATTCTAGGGTAAAGGTTTTTTTTCCTTCAGCACATTAAATATGTCATGTTATTCTCTCCTAGCCTGTACAATTTCCTGAAAAGTTTGCTGCCAGAAGTAATGAAGCTCCATTTTATGTTATTTATTTCTTGTCTCTTACTGCTTTTATGAAACTTTTTTTATATCTTTGACCATTGGAAGTTTGATTATTAAATGCCTTAAGGTAGTCTTCTTTAGGTTAAATCTGCTTGGTGTTCTATAACCTTCCTGTACTTGAATATGCATATCTTTCTCTATGTTTGGGAAGTTCTCTGTTATTATCCCTTTGAATAAACTTACTACTCCTATCCCTTTCTCAGTCTTCTCCTTGAGGCCAATATCTCTTATTTTCCCGTTTGAGGCTTTTTTTTTCCTGGATCTTGTAGGCATGCTTCATTGTTTTTATTCTTTTTTCTTTTGTCTCCTCTAACAGGCTATTTTCAAATAGCCTGTCAAGCTCACTAATTTTTTCTTGTGCTTGATCAATTCTGCTATTAGAGGATTCTCATGCATTCTTTAGTATGCCAGCTGCAGTTTTCAACTTCAAAATTTGGTATTGATTTTTCTAAAATTACTTTAAATTTTTATTTAATTTAACTGATAGGATTCTGAATTCCTTTGCTATGTTCTCCTGAATTTCTTTGAGTTTCCTAAAAACAGCTATTTTGATTTCTCTGTCTAAAAGGTGCCATATCTCTGGTACCTGGTACCTTATTTTGTTCATTTGGTGAGGTCATGTTTTTGTGGATCATCTTCATAATTGCAGATGTTTGTCTGTGTCTAGGCACTGAAGTGCTAGGCATTTATTGTAGTCTCTGCAGTCTGGACTGTTTGTACTCATCCTTCTTGGGAAGGCTTTCCAGATATTTGAAAAGATTTCGGAATTGTGATCTAAGCATTATTTGCTTTTGAGAGGACCTGGAGCTTGGAGTGGTATAACACCAGCACCCCTGTGGCCACCAACCCTAGGACTGCGCTGGGTCAGATCTGAAGTTAACACACTGCTGGGTCTTTCCCAAAGCCTGCTGTAACCACTCTTTGTCTACTACTCATGTTCACTTAAAGCCCTTAGGCTCTACAATCAGCAGGTGCAAAGCCAACCAGACCTACGTCCTTTCCTTCTGAGCAGGGAGTTTCTCCAGGCCACACTCAGGTCTAGAGGTACCATCTAGGAGCCAGGGAGTAGAGTGAAAAACCTTAGAAGTCTACCTGGTTTTCTATTGTACTGTGGCTGAGATGGCATTCAAACCACAAGACACACCCCTTCCCACTCCTCCCTCCTCCTAGTCAGAGGATCCTCACCCCGTGACCACTGCCACCTCAGGCCTACAGGAAGCACTGCAGGCTACTGCTGATGTTCCCTTAAGGCTAAGGGTTCCTCACTCAGTTTGTGGTGAATACTTCCTGGTTTGGGACTCACCCTTCAGGGAAATGGTCTCCCCTCTGGCCCGGAGCAGGTTCAGAAATGACATCCAAGAGCCAAGCACAGAATCAAGTGCCCCAAAAGCCCACTTTGTTCTCCACACCCCTGTGGCTGAGCTGGTACCTAAGGCATAATACAAAATCCCCTCTACTTGTCCCTCCACTTTTCTCAAGCAGAAGGAGTCTTGCCCAATAGGCACCACAGCTGACCACAGCTGATAATGTGCTGAGTCTCGCCTGAAGCCAGCAAGTTAGAGTCTCACTCAAGACCCTCAACATAGTACCTGGGTATTGCTGCTTGCCATTTAGGCCCCAAGGACTCTTCAGTTTGCAGGCAATAAATCCTGCCAGGACTGGTTCCTTCCCTTCAAGGCAGCTAATTTCTTTATGGCCCAGGGAGTGTCTAGAAATGTTCAGGAACTAGCAGGGTGGAAAGGGGGTCTCATGACTCTGACTGGTGCCTTATACTGCTTTGGCTGTGCTGGTATCCAAGATGCAAGACAAAGTCCTCCTCACTCTTCCATCTCCTCTCCTCAAGCAGAAGAAAGAGGTATCTTTTGGAGCTGTGAGCTGTGCAGCCTGGTGTTAGTGGAGTGGTGATGCCAGTCTTCCCTTTGCCATCCTGGCTGGTGTCTCAGTAGGTCACATGCCCTCCCAGTCTACTGTCTCTGGGCCTAGTTCAGCCCTAAGACTTGCCAAAGAGCTGCAGTTCTTATGGCCTAGACTGCCTTTCAAGTTTATTTGGGGCCCCAGGGTACTTTAGCTCACAGTGGCAAGGTTGGCAGGAACTCACATTTCAACCCCTTATGATTGGCAATCCCCCTATGCCTAGGGCTGGTTTAAATGCTCCCTCCATGGGCAGGAATCAGTTTGATCTCATTTTGCTTTCTGCTATAACGAGGGCAGCACTGAGTTCAGTGACTCACAATTGCTGGCTCTCCCTCTCCCCGTGGCACAGAAACACTCTCCACATTAGGCTGCTGCTGCTGCTGAGGGATGAGAGAGGGGTGGTATCAGCAATTAATGGATGTGTTTTAAAACCCCTTCAGTGTCTCTTTCAATGATAGGAAGTTAAAACTAAGTATTATGAGTGCTCATCTAATTTTTTTTTAACGTGCTTTTTTTTGTGTAGATAATTCTTAAATTGTAGTTGTTGTTGTAGGGGGGTGATGATTGGTGATGCCTTCTATTCTGCCGTATTGCTCCACCTATTCCAGGAAACAGATTTAAAATTAAACTTTGGGACAGCATTCTAAATGTATTTATGGCTCATGATATGATAAGGTCTCACAACAAAGCCAAAATCTGTAATGATGCTAAATGAGTAAACAAGGTTTCCCTTTTTGTGAATTCGTATGAGTTTGAGTTTAGATGGCAATGAATAAATACATTAATTAATGTAATATAATTTAATATATATGGTCACAGCATATATATCTATATATGCTGTTACTACATATTAAATCATTTCAGGCTTTAAATTCATAGTTTTATCTTTGTAAATATAATTTAGGCATGGTATCTGATATTTTTAATGAAATAATTCACTTTTTAATTAGTGAAGGCTTGAGATAGACAAATTACAAGAGGGCAAGGAAAGAAAGATTGTTGTGGTCTTTCTGAGAGTCAATACTTTGGGCTCCTAGATCATCTAGTCAATGTATATGCTTGGTAACCTTGGACTATGCATTTATTTCATATATATTTAATAATACTAATGTTATAAAAAAAGCCTACTATAGGCTTTTTTCACAATAAAATGTTGTTTGTGCTTACTCAAATATATTTGAGGCACAGAATACGTTAAGTCTCACTGCTGG
The DNA here is from genome assembly GCF_000001405.40 of Homo sapiens. Lineage (NCBI taxonomy): Eukaryota > Metazoa > Chordata > Mammalia > Primates > Hominidae > Homo > Homo sapiens. Next base: position 97,685,846 of record NC_000011.10, read on the forward strand.
AGTTGGATGTTTGTCCCTTCCAAAACTTATGTTGAAATTTGATCCCCAATGTTGCAATGTTGGGATGTGGGGGCTGGTAGGAGGTGTTTGAATCATGAGGTGGTATCCTTCAGGAATAGATTATTGACCTCTCTTCAAAGTGAGTGTGCTCACTGTTAGTTAACACAAGAGTTAGTTGTTAAAAAGAGCCCGGCCCCTCCCTCTTTCTTGCTTTCTCTCTCCCTGTGTGGTATCTTGCCCATGAAGGCTGCCTTTTTACTTTCTGTTGTGAGTTGAAGCAGCCTGAGGCCCTCAGCAGATGCACAGGCCCAATCTTGAACTTTCCAGCCCCCAAAATTGTGAGCCAAATGAGCCTCTGTTCTTTATAAACTACTCAGTCTCAGGTATTCTGTTATAGCAACAGTAAACAAACTAAGACACTTATTAATGAATACATAGATACTTCCAAGTATCCATGGTAATGGGAAGAGATGCAGATAACCAAGTAATATCTGTTTTGATTTTAAATTGATTACCTGAAAATTTTATATTGTATCTTTTATATCTTACTAATATTTTTATTAGAATGGTATTTATTAGATTACAAAACTGAATCATGTACAAATGGTGACACAGAGAAATGAACTCTAAATTAGTAAAAGAAAGCAAATCTGGAGCAAAAAATTTGCTGCAGAAAAATCCACAAAATTGAGACGCTTATGGGTATTATTATAATGTACCACTACTAATATTATTAATAATTATCTGATGCTGATTAGTGAATGCTAAGCACATTGTATGAATTATTTTATTTTTTAAAACACTGTTTATTTTTACAGCAATGCTACAAGATACGTATTATTATTATTCTCCCTTTTCTCATAAGAAAAGCTTAGAAATGCTTTAGGCTACAGATAAAGTGGTTGTCAAAACAAGGATATAAATCCTAACTATAGCATCCGTATTCAACCATGACACTTTTCTACCATTCTACCAGTCATTTATTCACTGTATTTAAATAGAAATTATATCTTTGTAAAGTGCAATGTTCTGGGTACATCTGTGGTTCAAGGTAATAAGTAATCAAGGTAACAAAAATATATGCATTCTACTTTGAAGAACTGTATATATAAGCCTTCATGGAGCTAGAATGTAATATGCAGAGTTAAAAATCATTATATGAACAGACTTGTGAGTATTCACATTTTAAGCAATTTTAATTTGGAGTTTTAGTAATCAGTTGTGGTAAAATCTACAATGGCTACCTTCTCCCACCCTCTGTTTTCTCTAGCCAAGCCTTAGTGATTGTCTTTTAGCCAGGGAGGGTGATGAGGTACAGCATGGAATTTACTGAATCTATAACACTGTAACAGAGGGGGTGCCCAGCAGAGCAGAATGTAGGCGGGACTTAATTAGAAGCTAGAGGGAGACTGAAGGCCTATGACAAGAACTAATCAATGTTTTTGATCATGAGAACTTGCAGAGGCCAGGCTGCTACTGTAACAGGAAACTGGCACAAGCAATTGTCTTCAGAGGCCTTGACAAGCTGTGATACGCTCTTTGGGTCCTGGTTTATAAGAGATCTTTTGACGCTCTATTGTAGCACGGCCATCCTCTTCCTTCTCCCCTTTAAAATGGGAGAAAAAAAAACTATTCTTCTACTGTGGCTTTCCTTAGAAACATCCTCTACATTCTGTAGACATGTGGACATTAAACAAAAATCGTTTAGAGACTGAAACATAGTAAAATAGCGTCACTAAAGGCAGTAGGAGTTTGAATTCTGTATGGTATTTTTCATGTTTGAATCACTCGGAGGGTTTTATACTGGATAAACTGTAAAGCTATATATAGCTTTTAACACAAAAGTCCAATTAAATATATTATCTATGAATATAAACTTTCCTGTGTAATTTAATTTATTTTTTAACCATATAAATCGTTGAAAGTTACTAATTACTAGAAATCAGAAAAGCAGGAATTGTTAAAAGAGTAGTTATCTGTAAATATCTTTAAGATTGTTGATGTCCTTTCACTTTAGACTTTTCCATGTCATAAAATAATTACACAATAACTTCTACTTTGTCTTCAGACTCCTGTCTAGGCATACATTATTAATCAGTAATTATCATTGCAATGGCATTATTGTTGCTCTTTTATTTCAAGTGTCCTCTTATTAGTTTGGCCTGAGAAAAATTAGCTACAAAACTTAAGCTTACTTTTAGGCTATATCCTTTAATTATTTTACTGTGGTATAATTTCCTACCCCTCAGGACCAGTCACCGAGCAAAGAACAAGTTATGTCACACAAATTAAGCACACATTCTGCTCTCAGTGGGGTGTAAAATCATAAGTGGTTGTGAAATAATTACTAGTTTCCTCAGATATTGCACATTCTTATTTGGTTAGTTTTTCCAAATATACTATTTTTCTGATGGAAAAATTCGTATTAATGTTCAAGCCTCTTGTATTTTTTAATGATTTTTTTGCTAGTGAAACAATCACAAAGCTAAATAAAAATATATAGGCATTAGGAAACTAAATTATGAGAAATAGTTTATACATTAAATGTGATACTAAATAATATAGAAAACCTGATGCAGTATTTTGAATAGTACAACTTTTTTTTTTCCTTTTTCTTTTCTTTCTTTTTTTTTGGGGGGGTGGGGACAGAGTCTGGCTCTGTCACCCAGGCTGGAGTGCAGTGGCACAATCTCGGCTCACTGCAAGCTCTGCCTCCCGGGTTCACACCATTCTCCTGCCTCAGCCTCCCAAGTAGCTGAGACTACAGGTGCCTGCCACCTCACCCGGCTAATTTTTTCTATTTTTAGTAGAGACGGGGTTTCACCGTGTTAGCCAGGATGGTCTCAATCTCCTGACCTCATGATCCGCCCACCTTGGCCTCCCAAAGTGCTGGGAATAGAGGCGTGAGCCACCACACCCTGCTCAAAAAGTACATCTTACTGTGCCCGATAACAAAGAGCAGGTATGTGCTAATGATCTTTAAGAATACATCATTATCCTGATTAGTCTGCGACCTCTTTACCATACTCATTGATGAGAAAGTCTTATTTTCATCGTGCTAATCTCAAATACAACTACTACTACTAATTTAAAAATTATCCTTGATTGTAATTTGCGCTTCAAAATTCCTTCCTTGTCTCTGCACCTATATATTAGAACCTCTCATTCTCTATTCAGTCATAATTTCAATTGTTGCAAGAGTTTATCTAAAAACAAACAAAAGAATAATGAAAACGTAATAAAGAACAGCAACATTAATTACTATAACAATAACCCCTTTCAATGGGCCAGGCTTGGTTCTGTGTACATTATATGGTTTATCTCCAAGATAAAGATACTGTTGTTATGCCTATTGGGAAAAGAAGAAAATAAGGCTATAAAAAGCCTAAATAATTTCTCTAGGTCTCAAAAATGAAAAGTGACAGCATCATAATTTGTACCCATGTTGTACCCATGACCACATTCCAAAGAAAATGTTATTAAGCAAATAGCCAAAATATCCCCTACTGCTCATATCATGTTCACCAAGTTCTAGCTATGTGCTTATTCCTATTCTAAACTAAAACAAGTCAATTTTTCACATTCAGCAGATGACCACATTATTTCTCCCCTTCCTCCCTAATCCCAATGCCTCAGTTTTCTTCAATTATCTCTCTTATCTCCATATTCAGAGTAGAAATTCTGATAAGTTCAATCCAATTAATGTACGGCATTTTCCAGACAAGTTTTTGGTTTAGGTCTCCTGAACTAAATGGGGTCAATTGTGTCGAAGGGAAAAATTTTGTTGCTGTTGTCTTGTAGTGTTGCATATTTAAGAGAATGCTGTTTAGCTATCTCTCCAGAAGAACACTATGCAAGGAAATATGTCCTCCACTAGTCATTTTTTTTTTACCGCAATAGGAACCAGGTATAGAAGAACACAGAAAACTGTGGAACAAAGAAAAAGAAAGAACTTTGACCTGATGACAATCCTGACCCTTTAATCATAACAAACCTACAGCCTACCCTAACACTTTTTATTGCCATTAATTTTTATAAACCACTTTAAGGGTTTTCTGCCACCTGCACCTAAAAGAATCCTGATATCAAGATTTAACAACATGTTAGGTTAATGTAAAGATGCCTTCTAATTCCTGGTATGTTTTAACTACCACTTGTTAATTTGCACTGGCCTCTACATCCCGATGTTTTTTTTTTCTTTTCGTTTCCCATTTGAACATGCTACCTTATTGCACTCCCACATTTCTCTATGTCTGTTATCATCAGTCTGCCTGGTGTCTGTTGTGCTTCTTGCTGTGATTCTCACTATTCATCTGTATCCAAACTCTTGCTCCTCAGGGATTCTTTGAACTTTACTGATCCTTAAGTTTGATTCAGCTATCCTCAATCTGGCTATTGCGACTCACAACTCAACAGGACACCTCTCATAAACCTTCCTGCTAGCCATCAAACATTTCAACCATTTTAAAGTTAAATAAAATAAAAAAAAACAAAAGCACATCATTTCTAGATGATAGAATGGTAAGCTAACTCAGTTGCTATTCTTTGATCATTTTAGCTATGCTAAGAACATTTTATGTTTATGGACCTAAAGTAGAAATTTGGCCAGCTGGAAGTACAGACAGTGCCTCCTTATAAATATTTAAAATTGCATTATGGATTTTAAAAATATATGTGTGATAAACAATGCTAATAATGACGATTTAATTTTGATTTACTTGTTTTATCCTACAAAGCTGAAGCTCTATAGCTAAAGTTTTGGTTTTAGAAATGTTAACTAGAGTAGCTATTGTCGATATCCTTGATACCTCAATTCTTAAAAATTATCTCTTCAGCCACTTGTTCTATTCATGTCTATTTTTCTTTCTAAATAGTGTGCATTATCTTTTCATATGATCGATAGACTCCTATATTTTTTTCTTATTATAAATTCTTAATTTATCCTTTCATTGTGGAATATTTCTTTATGGCTTTATTATAATTAATAATTAAATTTTAAAAAGACCCCCTTTTGAGTCTCACATTAAAAATACACTACAGTTAAAAACATAATAAAATAAACATTAAAATTGAATAAAATATTTAAAAGCTCGGCAAACTAGCATCAATAAACCAATGTGAAAAAAATTTTTTCACCCAGACTGCTGAGAAGGAAACCAACCTGTAATCACATTTGGTGGTTCCTTATTTCAAAGGAAGATGCTTCTTTTTAACTGCTTCCTGCTTTTGTAGGCTTTTATTTTCTCAACTATTATTGGTTATTCTGTCATCTTGAGGAATAAATTTTTTAAAAAATTTCTGGACTTCAAAATATCTGGAGACCCTGCTCCTCAAACAAAATTACATTAGTAAATGTACTTAACAATCTTTTAATAGCTAAATTGGATGACTCTATGTCTGGCTTTATTTGACTAGATCCAATTTAACTGATGCCTTCAGCATAATTAATCAGAAAATGCACTTTAGTGAATACCATCATTTCATGTCTTGAGGATAGTGCCAAAGAGACTGGTTTTGGTATCTTGGGTCTTGCTTGTCATTCACGTGACCATCTAGCTTTATTTTATTCTTCTGAGATTAAAAAAAAATGCTAGAATAAAAGCTCTGTAAATGGATATCCACTGTTTGAGTTGACAAATGAAATAATGTTTGATGTATTTTCCTCTTTACCAAAAGAAAAAACAATCAGAAAAGTATTAAATGTCAAGAAAGAAAATAAAGATCCCTAGAGAAGAAAAATAGCATATTTGCATTGTCTTTAAAAAATATAGACACAATATTTTTGCAGTGAAAAACTGCAATTAATGACACACCTCAGAATTGTAAAGACATCTGTTCATAACTTTGTCCCATGGCATTTAACTGTATAATTTGAGATGAAAATTAAAATTCAAAAAAAAAGTTTACCAACAAGCTAATTCAAACATCCCCAAATTAGATGATTTCTTATTCTTTCTCCAATAAAATACAACCTCTTACTTTGCTCTCCAGACATACCAATGGCCACCCCGTCTCTGGACATGTCATAACATGTCACAAATTATAATTCTATTATTTGTATATTCCCCCAAAAATCTTTTGCTTGAAGATATGTCTCTATTTTTATTTCAAGTTGATTATTTTATGCTATCACTCCTAAATCTTCATTTTTCATTCAACCTTGAGTGTCAGGTAATCAATATTTTTTCTGCACTCTTTGATAATCTGGAAACACAAAAAAACCCCTGCAATTATTCACTATTATTTACTCAATAAACTAATTAATTACTAATTAAATACCCATGTAATTACCATGTGATATACATATCAATTACCAGGTGATATACATACCACTTATTTATTAGTAATATTATTAATGATTCCTTATTAGCTAATTATTGGTATCTCACGTTAATAGTACTATTATTAATATTTTCATTATTATTATATATATTTTATTATAATATTATCATTATTATTCTGCTTCTATCACTATCATTCACTAAGGCTGAGACCAGCAACTAAAAGGGCAAACTGAGAAGATCTGCTACTAACAGGAAAAATCCGAGATACATTAGGGAAGCCTGGATTTGGAAAACATCTCTCAAATTTCAAAAAAAAAAAGGCTGACAAACGAGTAGAAAGCTAAGACATTTTTCACAGAAGCATATACATCATGTAATTAAGTTAGGTTTGTGTAATCTCTGAGGAATAAAAATGTTATGAAGGTACGCTCTAATAGTGACATATGGTAACATGGCATACCCGGAACTCAAGAATGACTCAAGGTCACTCATTCTTCAAGGTCACATAAATGACATATCTAAACCATGAGTCCCACTTATTCCTCTTGAATCAAAGATGAAACTCTTAAAAATATTGCTTATAGTAATCACCTGCATCTCAGCACGTAAATTTTCAGCATGTGATAATTATTTTTGAAACTCATGTCAAAAAGTGTGCTTTTTCTGAATTTTCCATCCACTTCAGTAAATATATGTTTTTTTAAAACAATTAATTTATTTGATCTTTGAAATTTTAGCCAAAAAATTTTAAAGAAAACTGCAGATATAGTCAAAGTAGTCAGGATTAAAAGTGTGGGTTTATGTTTATATATATATATGTTCTGGGATACATGTGCAGAATGTGCAGGTTTGTTACATAGGTATACATGTGCCATGGTGGTTTGGTGCACCCATCAACCTATCATCTACATTAGGTATTTCTGCTAATGCTATCCCTCCCCTAGGTCCCCAATCCCCAGACAGGCCCTGGTGTCTGATGTTGCCCTCCCTGTGTCCATGTGTTCTCATTGTTCAAGTCCCACTTATGAGTGAGAACATCTGGTGTTTTGTTTTCTGTTCCTGTGTTAGTTTGCTGAGAATGATGGTTTCCAGCTTCACCCATGTCCCTGCAAAGGAAATAAACTCATCCTTTTTTATGATTGCATAGTAATCCATGGTGTATATGTGCCACATTTTCTTTATCCAGTATATCATTGATGGGCATTTGGGTTGGTTCCACGTCTTTGCTATTGTGAATAGTGCCTCAATAAACATACATGTCCATGTGTCTTTATGGTAGAACGATTTAAAATCCTTTGGGTACATATGCAGTAATGAGATTGCTGGGTCAAATGGTATTTCTAGTTCTAGATCCTTGAGGAATCGCCACACTGTCTTCCACAGTGGTTGAACTAATTTACACTCCTACCAACAGTGTAAAAGCATTCCTATTTCTCCATATCCCCTCCAGCATCTGTTGTTTTCTGACTTTGAGAAAACTCTGTCTCAGCCCAAAATCTCCTTAAGCTGATAAGCAACTTCAGCAAAGTCTCAGGATACAAAATCAGTATGCAAAAATCACAGCATTCCTATACACCAATAACAGACAAACAGAAAGCCAAATCATGAGTGAACTCCCATTCACAATTGCTACAAAAAGAATAAAAGAACTAGGAATACAGCTTACAAGGGATGTCAAGGAACTGTTCGAGGGGAACTACAAACCATTGCTCAAGGAAATAAGAGCAATCACAAACACATGGAAAAACATTCCATGCTCATGGATAGGAAGAATCAATATTGTGAAAATGGCCATACTGCCCAAAATAATTCATAGATTCCATGCTATCCCCATCAAGCTACCATTGACTTTCTTCACAGAATTGGAAAAAACTAATTTAAATTTCATATGGAACCAAAAAAGAACTTGTATAGCCAAGACAAACCTAAGCAAAAAGAACAAAGCTGGAGGCATCACGCTACCTGACTTCAAACTATACTACAAGGCTACAGTAACCAAAACAGCATGGTACTGGTAACAAAACTGATATATAGACCAATGGAACAGAACAGAGCCCTCAGAAATAACACCACACATCTACAACCATCTGATCTTTGACAAACGTGACAAAAACAAGCAACGGGGAAAGGATTCCCTATTTAATAAATGGTGTACACTTATACAAAAAATTAACTCAGATGGATTAAAGACTTAAACATAAGACCTAAAACCATAAAAAGCCCTAGAAGAAAATCTAGGCAATACCATTCAGGACATAGGCATGGGCAAAGACTTCATGACTAAAACACCAAAAGCAATTGCAACAAAAGGCAAAATTGAAAAATGGAATCTAAATAAACTAAAGAACTTCTTCACAGCAAAAGAAACTATCGTCAGAGTGAACAGGCAACCTAGAGAATGGGAGAAATTTTTTGCAATCTACCCATCTGACAAAGGGCTAATATCTAGAATCTACAAGGAACTTCAAGAAATTTACAAGAAAAAAAAAAAAACAACCCCATCAAAAAGTGGGTGAAGGATATGAACAGACACTTCTCAAAAGAAGACATTTATGCGGCCAACAAACATATGAAAAAAAGCTCATCATCACTGGTCGTTAGAGAATTGTGGTTGTTTTTTAAAGCATCCATGAGACAGTTTCTTGTTTTTATCTTTTTAATTATTATAATAAAATAATGTGTATATTTTAATTTTGTTGTACTTCATATCAATTTTTCTATATACATTAACTTGTTTTTCAAAACCACTTTCCAAGCTATTATAAAAACCAGACTTAGACTAAATGAGATCTTTAGTGATATGGTTTGGATCTGTGTCCCCACCCAAATCTCATATGGAAATGTAATCCCCAATGCTGGAGGTGGGGCCTGGTGGGAGGTGGTTGGATCATGGGGCAGAGTACTTATGAATGGTTTAGCACCATATCCCCTTGGTACTGTATAGTGAGTGACTTCTCAGGATATTTGGTTGTTTAAAAGTGTGTGGCACCTCCCCTCTTCCTCCTGCACTGGCCATGTGTGGTGTTCACTCCCCATTTGCCTTCTACCATGATTGTAAGCTTCCTGAGGCCTCCTCAGAAGCTGAGCAGAAGCTAGCCGGCAGAACTGTAAGCCAATAAAACCCCTTTTCTTTATAAGTTATCCAATTTCAGGTAAGTTTTTAATAGCAGTGCAAGAACGGACTAATATATTTAGTACTATTTGGATCTAAATGATACCAACTTTGTATGAATATGATCGCTCATGATGAGGCCACATATCTTCCCCACTCTGTCCAAAGCAAAATACTTTTATTTAGGATACATACACAAGGGCTGAAATCCATGAAAGAAAGATGGAAAGAAAGAACAAAATAATATAAAATTTAGGAAAATAATTTATTCAGCAGGAGTGAAGAAAGCAAATGCAGCAATGAAGGAAAAGTTTATGAAATGTTTCCAGTATATGATGGTATTTTTACCACTAATACATCTGGTTTTTGCTTTGTTTCTTTTTAAATTTGTGCCACCTGAAAGAACACAGATTAATGTTTATGTTTCATAGTATTTTAATTATTTTCAGATTTCTAATTATTTCATTTTTACTAATTAGCTTTTTGCTTTAGATTTGCTCTTTCTTTACTTGCTTCTTTGTATCTCATTGTTGTCCCCTCTTTTTTCTTATTTTTGTTTTATGTAAATAATATACTATATTTCTCTATTTTCAGAAAAATTAAATTTTTAATTTTATCATGTATATATAATTTATCGAAGTCTACAGTAAGTCAATTCACATATTATCCTCTAATCAAGGCAAGGTATAGTAAGTCAATACATATAACATCCTCTAACCAAAGAATATATGTTTGATACCACACACAACCCTTTTGACATTGATGTCATTCTTGTCATATATTTAACCCTAACTTATCCCCTGTCATTCAGTATTAATGAATATTAGGTAGCTGCTTTATCTGCCTGCTAATCATCTCATTATGCCTACTCAAGAAAATAACTCCAGCCATACCTGCCCCCAATTTCTTTGGAAACATCAGGGGGTTTTTTCCCTATTGGGTCTTTCACAGCAAACAAAAAATTCTGTTGTTTCTCACTTCTTCACTCAGCTACTATCCCACTTTTTAAATTCATTTTCAAGAATAACTTCTCTATTTTTTTCCTATACCATTTTCAGATACTTTTTCCTCATACTCTTATGAATCTACTTTAATAGACTCTTCCTTACAATTCTTAAAAATCTGTCTTGCCAAGGTCACCAGTAACATTCATAAAATATCCAAAAGAAAATTCTTAAGTCTCATCTTAAATCACCAGCAGAATTTGATTTCTTTCCTCGTATTTGACTTTCTTGGCATAGGCTTCTTGGTGACCACACTTGTCTGGTTTCCATCAACCTCACTCCCTGTTCCTTCTCAGAATCCTCTTCATATTCATGACCAATGTTTGCCTGTCTCAGGCTTCAATCTGTGTTCCATTTATATACTCTATGTATTCTCACTTGCTTGGAAATTTCGCTCAATTCCATGGTTTCAAATATCAACCAATAGACAATATCTCATAATCTGTTTTTATAGCCCAGCTCTTTCCTCTGATATTCATACCTATATATCCAACAGGTTATTTGTAGAAACTTATCTTCTCTGAAATTGAACTTCTAATCTATTCCTCCACGTTTTTTCTTCCCAGTCTTCCCTATCTTAGTTAATGGCAACACCACACTCTTTGTCAGGTAACATTTTGAGAGTAATTTTGACTTCATTATTTCTTTCAACTTGTAAATTTAGTATGTCAGCATATGCCATTATGGTTATCTTTAAAACATGTGTGTTTATCTTTAAAACATCTCCGCCTCCCAGGCTCAAGCAATTCTTGTGCCTCAGCTTCCCAAGTATATATTTGAAAATAAAAAAAAAAGGATTCTACTCAAAATTACACTGGTCAACAGATTAGTATACTAACTGGGATTCTCATGGACAAAACTGGATATATATAGTTACCCTACTTGAAAGGTCTTGCCAAATATGGTTTCCTGTTACCCTTTTAACTTAGTCTTCCTCTATTTACCCTTTTATTCACACTTTCAGCCATACTGGTCTTCTTGCTTTTTCTTCAAAATGCCAGGAGTATGTGCAAATTTGTACTGGCTGTATTATTTGCCTAAAAAGTGTGTCTCTAAGATATACACACGGATCACTCCTTTACAGATCATTTCTTAAGTGTCATCTTTATGCTAGCTCTCTCTTACTAAGGTATTTAACATGCCAACTTCATAACACTGTCCCTCTTGCTACTTTATGTTTTCTCCATAGCATTTATCACCTTTACATACATCATATGTTTATTATGTTTATTGTTTGCCTCCCTCCATTAGAATATATGATTCACATAAAGAGGTATTTTTGTATTAAGAATCTTTCTTTCTTTCTTTCTCTTTCTTTCTTTTCTTCCTACTTTCCTTCTCTTCTCTTCTCTTCTCTTCCTGACAGAGTCTCGCTCTGTCACCCAATCTGGAGTGCAGTGGCGCAATCTCCACTCACTGCAACCTCCGTCACCTAGGCTCAAGCAATTCTCGTGCCTCAGCTTCCCGAGTAGCTGGGATTAAAGGCATGCACCACCATGCCCAGCTAATTTTTGTGTTTTTAGTAGAGATGAGGCTTCACCATGTTGGCCTAGCTGGTCTCAAACTCCTGGCCTCAAGTGATCCACCCCACTTCAGCCTCCCAGAGTGTTGGGATTATAGGCGTGAGCCACTGCACCCGACAGAGAATGTTATTTTCTAACCCATTTGGAATTTAGATTTATGAAGAGGCATTTATCGACCTTTGTGTTGGCTTATCTGGATTATGTTTCATCTCTCTCAAGCCACAGAAGTGTAAAAACTCTTATGTACAAATTTATGAAGTTTGACAAATGCCCTCAATGCCTGATTAACTAAGTATGAATTGCTTTAGTACCAACTCAAGAACACATTTAAGAAGTTGCTTATCTTGTCAGCTTGTTTCATTTTTTCTAAGTGGGATGATTGAGGAAAGGGGAAATGTCAATGCAAGAGTTTATTCCAACACGTTGCCAGGAAATAAAGTTTCCTAGATAAGATTTTTAAAATTGATCAAATCTAATAAATAATTGCCTTGTGCTTCAATTCGATCTTAAAGTGCTGCCAGATCTGAAAAGTTTAAGTATTTATTAAAACTAATATCAATACTCATGTTACCTTTTTATACATAACTCATGGAGTTAGGACACCAGTTACTTTCATAACATTCTTTCTCATTATTTCTTAGAATCCCCATCCTGTCTCACGTTTCTTTGGGTTCTGTACTCAAAAAAACCACTAAAAAGAAGTAGCATCAAAAAAAGTGAAACAAGTAGCATCAACTGTTGCTGATGTCTTCCAAGAAAACTGTACTTTTTAATCTAGGGTTCCCCCAAGCTGAAAAACTCTTTTTATACCAGAACAATGTCATACTATGTCATAATTTGTTACTGTAGTGGCAGTGTCCAAAGTCTCTTAAGAAGAATTTCTTCCGCAATTTCCTCTTTCTCTTCTCTCTCCAGAAAGGATCACAGTTAATGCATTGACCAGATAAAAGAAGAGAAGCCATGCCATTATTTTTCTACTCATCCTTTTTGCTATTTAAAAAATTCCCATGCACATAAACTTGTGAAAAAAAGGCTAAGAATATTTGCCATTTAAAATTGGGAACCAATTTTGACTTTGGCTAAAGACACGGTGATATTTGCTAACGGTAGATTAGCTTTATTATTTCTTACCTTTCAGCACATATCTTCTAAGGAAATAATTACCATATTGTGAACAAAATATTTTCTATATATTTATATAATTTTTATTGTTTATCTTCATCTACATATTTTCTAAAATACTACTCATTTTTTAATAAATGAAGAAAGATAATTATTCTAGTCTATGACATGTTTTTAAAAGATGTTATGACATTTCTTTGTTAATTAACTAATAATTCTTTAAAAATCAGCTGCCTCTAATCTCAAGTTTAACAAAGATGACAATTTTTTTTGCAAACTTCTAAAATACGTAACTATCAGAGGAGTATAATTTAGCATTTTCTCACATAATATGCAGTTAAATACAACCCCCACAGACATTTCTGTTCCTTGTATGATTTAATCAAAAGAAATATATGTTGACTCTTCTGATATTCAAATATTGTCTAAATATTCACACACATTCATATGTTAATTTATAATAGATTTCCAGTATCTTCTTGAATGTTCTAAGAATTTTGTGAGCACCAATTTTTTTCAATGCAGTGTTATCTGATAGAAGGATAGGAACTTTAGATCCAAAATGACTGGGCTGTTATTACTACTTCTTAATTCATATACTACATAATTGTTGAAAATTAAACTTCTCTCCCCTTGCCTTCATTTGGGCCTCTAAAAATATGAATTACACTTATAATTGTAAATATTTGAACCCAATCAATCCTGTGAAAGAAAAGGGGAAATCGTGTTCATGTGAAGCAAGTTTTCTAAGATACCTGATAAACCTTGAGAACAGTCATGTAGCTGAGACTCCAAATCAACTGGTATCAAGTCCTGGAGCACTGTAAAGAAGCCAGCAAGTCACTCAAACTTTATGTGGTGTATCATTTGCTGTGCATTATTCTTCAACTCTAGAGTGTCATTTTTAGCTTATAAGTATACACGGGCAGAAAAATGCCCCTTAAAAACTCAGCTGTAAATTTTATTAATTTACAAATATGTTTAAACTTAGGCTAAACTTTCCTGCCTCAATTTCAAATGCTCAGTTCATAGACAATTATTGACTGATTTTGTTCAAGTGATCACCCCCAGACCAAACTTCTTGGGGCCAGAGCATCAGCTTCAAATTTTATGAACAGCTGGCTTCTGCTGCAATCAAATGAACAAAGTAGAATTAGGTGAGAAAAGATACTTAAATAGAAAAGGATGCCTGACTTTACAATAGTTGCTTAATACTGTCAAGAAGCTACTGTGAAATTTGAAAATAGTAGGTGTGATGTCTGGCTAGTAGTTGTTATTACGCTTACATATATAAACATTGCCATTCCAGTTAGGTAGCTTCTTGTATCACCCTTCTGAAGTGGCATAGTACTTTCTTTAGCAGTTTAATAGACTTCAGCCAACCGAATATTGGCCCAAGAGACTTAAGAATAATTTAGAAATTAGATATAATTCAATAGAGTAAGAAAAGGAATAGAGCACCATAGTAGATACAACGTGGTGATCGAGAATACCACACTTGGGAGCACACTTGAAAAAATTCCTGTGATTTATCTAACAATTAATTATTTAGATGTATGTTTTAAGGGAGGCTGGAAGTCCTGTAATATTAAGCAGGCACAGAAAAAGAGAAATACTGCTTTATAAATGATATTGTTGTAAATGCGTTCAGATTGGCAGAAGTAGTTCTGAGTTAGTTTGGCTAAGAAACACTTATAAGCATAGATAACTGCTGTGATATAGAGATCAACATTAGCTCTTATCTTTTTGTGCACTCAGCTAAACTACAATTCGAAAATCTTGCTTCAAGCTGGAAACTGTGGCTATGTTCTAGACAAGGGTAAAAATGCCCAATCCTGGCTATATAATGTATTATATGCCATTATCTGCTTGGTATGTCTAGGTTTTTGAGGCTCTAGAAGTCAGCAGGGTCACATAGTACAAGAAATCTCTCCCTTGGTTCCTGCTTATTGCAGTTACTCGGGGTACATAATAAGGGACAACCTAGCACGTGTAAAAACTAAACTTTATTATGCTAAACCACTGAAACTTGATTTGCCTGTTGCTACATCTAATGTTTATCATGGAAATGGAAAGAGGTTTATAACACAAAGTAGAATAAAACTTCCAGAAGTTAGGACCAAAAAACAAAGATAAAAAATGGGGCACAAATAAATCAAATTAGAGATCTAAAAATCTTAAAAAAAGAGATCTAAAAATCCAATCAATAGGTGTTCTCAGAAGAGGAAAGATAATAAAATAACAAAATATTTATTTTCTATTTTATTTTATTTTATATATTCTCTCTTAATTCCTTATGCTTTTCATTGAAAATTGTTAAAATTGAGGAAAGTACAAAGAAAAAGCGTTCATTACCCTATCTCCCCAAAATAGCTACTGCTAATATGTGACATATTTTCTTTCACTTACTGTTTGAGGCTTAACTATACTATACCATATATACTATACTATAAGGATTATATTACGCACATAATATTTATCTTTTTTCTTAACATCATGACATATAAAATTGTCTTTATGATAAATTTTTTGTAAGTATAAATTTAACAATTAATCATCTCAGTAATGCCAATAATATATTTAACAATTTTACTTAAGGCTGTGCATTTATTTTTTATATACCACATTTAATGCTGCATTAAGTGTCTTTATACATTAACATATTCTGAGAAAATTAATATGACAAAATTATCAGAAATGGAATGATCTCATTTATGAAACTATAATTCTTACTTCCCAAAATACGTACATCTAATCACTAATATTAACACCTTTCCATAAGCATGCTTTGATGGTGGCAATTAGCAGAGTACAGCCCCTCATCAGTGGAAATGACCTCCACATATGTTAGGGTTTCAATTGTGTCCCCGTAAATGACATTAAAGCCCCAATCACCAATAATTTGAAATGTAATGTTATTTAGAAATAGGGTTGTTGAAGACTTAAATAGTTAAAATAATGTCATACTGGAGTAGGGTAGGCATTGAATCCCATAAGACTGGTGTCCTTATAAGAAAAGAGGAAGAGAGACATATTACTAGATTTAAGTTCTGCAGCTATGAGCCAAGGAATACCAAGGCTTGCAGGCAATCCATCAGAAACTGTAATGAAACAAAAAAATTCTCCCAAACTACTATCAGGGAGAGCACGGCCTTGATGACATCTTGATTTTGGATATCTAGTCTCTAGAACTATATCACAGTACATTTGTATTGTTTTAAAACACTGGACTTGTGGTCGTTTGTTATGACAGCTCTGGGAAACTGGTGCGACTTGCTCATTCTTGCATGTACACCATCTCACACTTCTACTCCCCCATCCTCCAATACAATCCCTATTCAACTTTCCTCTACTTTATTGTTAGTACTCTTCTACCCATTCTTCTCTGTTTATAGTATTGACTCAAGCAAATTCTTTATATTTTATTCTTTGGGCTGACTTGGATCTTGCCACCCAAGTACTTTCCCAGGCAGAAGTTCAGTTTTCTTCAAAACCTCCAGCATTCTTTCTTATTCATTTCTAGGACAGCAAGTATCTTCTTCCATTTTCTGATTCTTTAAAAAATATCTTGATATCCTTCTTTTATTGATTTCTTCATTTAACCTTTTTATATTTAATCACCTCTTATCTTTAAATATCTTTTCTCATTCTCCAAAAGTCTTTTCTAACTTTACTTAAACATTCATTGAATCAGTATTCAAAAAACCGCCTCAATTTTTATTTTATTTTAGTATCCTTCTAACAAAAAAAATAAAATTTACATAAAGTTAGAAAAAATATGGGAGGTTCTAGTATATTTATTATGAAAATATCATTTTTACATATTAAGGGAAAATATCTTACAGCTACTAGGGATCAGTACTGAGCTTATTCAATGAGTTATAGTTTGGATTAAGCTGTTATTTACATTTGAAGACTTCATTTTTTTCAACTGAGATGTTTAAAAATGAATTTTAATAATAAACTGCCAAATTATTCATTTTAGTTGATTTATAGCAATGTTTAGAGGACTTAGAAAGTTGATTAAAATAACTTGCTGTTGTATTTGCCATCCAAACCTATAAATTTTGTAGTACTTTAAAAATTTATTTGCTCAAATAAACTAAGCTTTTCGTTTGTACTCATTCAGGGGTGGTGTAAAGAGGAAAGGGAAGGCAGCTGCTCCATAAATTTTATCAAGCCTCAGGGCCTCAAATATACAATCTAAGTGAAAGCAGTTGTTTTCTAGGCAAATGCATCATCTAGATAAGCCTCTTGGTCTCTCTTCTACCACCATTACCCATAGCTATACTCCTTGGATATGGAAATTCTGAAGTCCCCACTGATGTTATTCAGCTTTTCTCAAAGGTGATAAAGTCTCTGACTGAACTTTGCTTAGGCTCCTCTGAGCTCTTTTTCACTAGACCTCAACCCTGGGCTTTATGTTCTTCCTTGTAGAATCCAGTTTTAGCAGTAATCATACTAAATTGATGTAGTGACAATTCCCACTTTCGGTATCTAATCAAATCCCTCATCCCTCACCCTTGTTATCTGATCACCCTGCTCCTCCTTTAGCAAGAATCCTGTCAAGTCAATTAAGCCAGAGTCCCCCCTACCCTTGATATTTCCTCTTAGTAATTTTCCATCCACTGACCCTCACCCTACTCCTTGGCTATAAATTCCCATTTATCCCCATTGTGTTTGGAATTGAGCCCAGTTCTATACTGAGGCGTCTTTTCTCCTACTGGAATCATTTTATTTGTTTGTTTGTTAATAAAATTTATCTTCACTATTCTAATTTCTGTCAGCTCTGGTTTTCTTTAACAAAAGTAAGGCATTATTTAGAAATATGTAAAAAGGGGAGTGATATATTTGCTGTAAACACATTATTTTTTTCTTGTAAATAACTAACTTAGGACTTGCTGAGAGACAATTTTCCATGTATCTCATGTTTCTAAAGAGTCCAGGTCCTCTTAAAGTCATTTACCGCCAGCTTAAGAATGTTTATAGAGAGAGAGAGACATTGCAGGATAGTAATGCTGAGGAATATCTTACTACCTGCTGAGGTCCAAGAGGTAAAAGTATAGAGCTCTCCTTCCCTAAGTAAATTCCAGAATAATGATAAGTCTCTCTCTTTCTCTGGAGGGGAGAATGTAGCCATTAGGCTTCTTAATTTCAGGATGGCTTTCCTGTAATGCACTTGAGTACATGTGCAAGTACCATCTGTTCCGTACCACGTTCTGTTTTTGAGATTAGAGCTTGGGGTACTGAAGCAAGCTGTTGCTTTGGCTTCTGATTTTGCAATGAGTAATAAACTGTCTTTGTCTCTGAACCAGAGGCAGACATTTTATGTGCACACACACATGTGTATATATACATATTAATATATGTATTATATGTATCTATATAAACATTTGTATACTGTATGTGTATATATACTACACACACACACACACACACACACAGTGGGAAGCAAATTTGTTAGCACCTAAGTAGATTAAAAACTCAAATTCTTCTGACTTAACTTTCTGAATTAACAGGTCTCTGTTACCTTGTCCATAATACTGATACAGGTTTAAAATTGCTTTCAGCAAATTTGTAATATGGACTGTACATTCGATCATCATATTTTATAAAACTAAATTTTCTGATTTTGAAAATGTGCTGTGGTTATGAAACAGACTGTTCTAGTTCTTAGAAATGCACACTGAAGCATGAAGGAGTAAAGGGGCATGATGTCTGGAACTTACCTCAAGTGAATGAGACAACATAATTCAAAAGAAAAAGATACTAATAAAATAAATGTAGCAAATGGTGAAACTGAGTGAAGATATAAGGGAGCTCCCCAAAAGACCACCAGAAAAGCTTATTGATCAGCTATAGCTCCTGCATTAACAGAGAATGCCACTTTGACCGAGTCTTAGTAATATCTCAAAATGAGTAAATTAAGAGGATAAGTAAGGCAGGTTTTTCCAGGTATGAAAGTGTTTAGAATGGAAAGGAACTGATAATAAATTGCCTTTCGATTGGCAAGCACGGCAAGAGAGTCTCAATGAGTAAACTACAGGTTTTAAGTAATCTGTTATGTTTGTTTACAGTCTTATCTCGAGTAGTTATTTCGTGGAGAAGCAGCTAACATATTTTGTTTGATCCCAGTATTAACACTGTGGCAGAGAAGTACGTTGGTTTCAGTTACCATCTTGTAAATTTTTAACACATTTGAATCATAGCAAAATAAAAATTTTTAAAAATGCACATGATCCTGAGCTATGTATGTAGTCATTAGGGGTAAAATATTTAAAAGCTGGAAAGGGTGTCTAAGAATAGAGACTGAGAAACTAAATGATGAACAATTAAAGGCCTCTATGAGTTTAGTCATCATAATTTTACATTCAAACAATATGAGACTAGCATAATGCATCACCTACATTTTTCTCAGTAGTTAACTTGGATTACTGATTAAAGCGGTCTACAATCCCTGTACTTTCAAGATCAATTTCTTTTGTTTTATGCAGAAGTCAGAAATCAGGCATGAGTGCACAAAAAACATACATTGCAGGAATACATGTAATGTCATATAAAACTGTAAATGACTCAGAAATAACACCACACATCTACAACCACTTGATCTTTGACAAACCTGACAAAAACTAGCAATGGGGAAAGGATTCCCTATTTAATAAATGCTGCTGGGAAAACTGGCTAGCCATGTGTAGAAAGCTGAAACTGGATCTCTTCCTTACACCTTACACAAAAATTAATTCAAGATGGATTAAATTTTAAATGTTAGACCTAAAACCCTAAAAACCCTAGAAGAAAACCTCGGCAATACCATTCAGGGCAAGGACTTCCTGACTAAAACACCAAAAGCAATGGCAACAAAAGCCAAAATAGACAAATGGGATCTAATTAAACTAAAGAGCTTCTGCACAGCAAAAGAAACTACCATCAGAGTGAACAGGTAATCTAGAGAATGGGAGAAAATTTTTGAAATCTACCCATCTGACATAGGGCTAATATCCAGAATCTACAAATAACTTAAACAAATTTACAAGAAAAAAACAACCCCATCAAAAAGTGGGCAAATGACATGAACAGACACTTCTCAAAAGAAGACATTTATGTAGCCAACAGACACATGAAAAAATGCTCATCATCACTGGTCATCAGAGAAATGCAAATCAAAACCACAACGAGATACCATCTCACACCAGTAAGATGTCAAGAATATCAGCAACCATAAATACATTGTAAGGTTTCTTCTTTCACTTTCCACAATACTTTTAAGTTTATGAATTTGCTGGGTGAAGATGCTCAATGATATTAAAATGTATCATAAGACTCAAGACAATCAATGTTATCATCTTAAGTTTTAAAATTTCTAGGCATTTCCCTGCCATGATTGTACAACTGTGTAAGTTTTATACTGAGGTCACGATGATCCCAAATATGAAAGTCCAATATTCTATTTCCAAGCATCCCCAATATGCTAACTATTTTACAACTTATGTTTGCATACCAATATGTGTTTATATGTAAATATTTATATAATGTCACACACATATCACCAGCTATTTCATATATTATAAAATATAATTTCTAGCAATGAATATTCAACATATTAATGTCTTCAAAATTAACAGGCAAAACAAATTATTCCTAACCCATTATATATAATGTTTATCTCTCTCTCTCTCTCTCTATATATATATATATATGTACACACACATATGTAGCCATATGCTTCATTAAGAGGCAAATTTCTCAGACCTATTTTTTATGTCACCTTCTGCTCTTTAACATGTTTACTTCCTCAGAAGTTGAAGTACCAATTCTCAGCTACTTAAATATTTTCTAATGTTAGAGGGGAAAGAAGCAAAAGTGTTGTGTAAAACATGCACAATGAAGCTTTTTTTGAAATGGATGGGCATGGATTGTGGAGCCTCATTTGCATTTTTCAAAACCACATTTACACATTTTCCTGTGGTATGAATCTGTGGATCTGTGGTGACATGTTGGTATTACACTTCTTAAAGCATGATCACAGAAATAGATCTATCAATAATTGAGAAAACGGAGCTGGCCTAAACCACAATAATATAATGTATTCATAAGTAACATATCTGCACTTATATATTTTTAGTGATGTAGAATTTTTTACGCTAAATTCATAAAATAACTGTCACATTAAAGATTATCTCGATCACCACCAGTCTACCAGGTTTATCCCTAATAATTTATTTGGCTAGATCTATTTTAAATAGTTTGTCAAGACAAACAGTTTTGATTTTTTAAACCATATAGTCCTTTTAAAGAACAGGCAGCAGTAAATTATATTTTAACAAATCCACTTCCGACTGATGAGGCAAATTGCAGGTGCTACATCTACTGCGCAAGTTTAGACATATTATTTAACTTTGTGATGGTTCTTTTTATTTGTCTTTAAATAAGGCTGCATGTTAGTAGCATAATTAAATTACAGTTAAGAGGAAGGCTGGAGCAGACTTAGAATCCATGTTCTGATACGTACTACCTATATGACTTTAGCAAGCACAAGTATCCTTGTGCCTTGGTATTTTCATCTGAGAAAAAATTCCCTACTTCATAGGGGTATTATGAGTATTAAATGAGTTAACTCATGTAAACATTGAAAATAGTGCCTTTTCTATAATAAATACTCAATAAACACAGATAGTTAATTAACCAGCATATACGTATTGCAGACATGAATGCTACACAGTATTTCTTAGATAATAGAAACAGCCACTCTCATATATTGTTTACAGGAATCAAATTTTAAAATGTATTACCTTTAAATTAGCTAGTAAATTTCTAGGAATTTATCTCATAGAACTTATTCACACAAGTTTGCAAAGATAAATGCCTAAAGTTGCATTACTGATAATATTAAAATATGGGAAAATAACTAAATTTTCACATTAAAAATATCAAAATCTTGTCAATCCTATAGTTAGTTAACTTGGAGTTGATGCAAAGATGACAAAAAGTCTATATATGTTGTGAATAAGGGAAATACCGAATAGTATGATCCCATTTAGGAAATATGTATGTGTAAGGAAAGGTAATTTCAGAACACTATTTTATAATAACAAGAAAACCCTTCAATATATCAACTAACCCATATAGAAAAATGTCTAGCATAGCAGCATACTATATTCCAAAGAGTCAAAACTAGGTATCTTTGGTCAGAGACATGCACGAAATTATGGTTGTCTATTTTATATATGCCTGTATTATTGAACTTTTAATAGTAAACATTATTTTTATAATAACAATAAAATTTGATATTAAATCTACTGAAAAACCATGATAAGCAATGTACAAATAACAGTTTGGGGGTTTAACCAAATCACTATGTTACTCTAATGTCAAAAATTAATGTGTTCATTTTTACTTCTTACTTTTACCTAGCCAATCATGGTGAATTCAGTCTATCCACTACTTCCAAAGTACCTTCACTATACCCACATTTATAGCTTTGTTCATGCTGCTATACCTGCCTGCACTTTTCTTCTCTATTCAAATTTTGTCTTATATTTTTACCACACATTCTTTATGAAGCCTCATTCACCTGTTTAATTAACAATCCTTTAAATCCCTTTGAAATTTCTTGCTCTGCCTTTCAGTTTGACTGCCATATCTCTTAAATTGCAATACTCTATTGCTGTATCTGCTTGTATATTTATATATGTAATATGTAATATAATATATATATTCTTCCTACTTGTTGGTTACCTCTTTGAGGGGGTGCCTATTATTAATAACTGTATTTCTTTTTCTCCTCACAAGATCATCCGTAATTGTGTCTGCATAATGCACAGTTGGAATTGCTTACTTAATTGATTGATTGACAAAGTAATTATAACGTGAATGGAATAATGGTCATTTTAGCCAATATTTACATATTGAAGAAAATTATTCCCAACTCAAAGTGACAAAAAAGTGCAGATTCAAAATTTCCTATTACCTGAAGAAAGAAATAATGAGGTCTCAGTCTACAGGGAAAAAATCTTAAAAAGTCATTTTCGCAGAGTGCTTCTAGCAAAATAGACTTCATCTATGCTCCTGAGAAGTCCCTAATATCCAGGAAATCAGGAGACTTAAGAAGTCCCAGAATATTCTTCAAGGTTTGGCTTTGCCTGGAGCAACTCGGTGGAAGTTACACCAGCCGCGGCTGTTGTCTAGTAGGCAAGGTCGTATTTTATTATTTTTTAAAAGTGTTTTGATTTTTTAAGCAAAACATTTTTCCTTTGAGAAAAGAGCAGTAAGGAAATGAACTGTGTATATTTGTTTACTGTATGAGCCAGCCATTGTACTCATACCAGGAATGCAGAAAGCAACACAAACCCTGTAAATATCATGGTTAAGAACTAAGCTGTAGACCACAAACATCCCCACAAAAAAATTAAATATGAAATTAAAACCTAATATGAGGCATCAGAAATAATAGGTGAACTCGATCTACAGGATCACAAGGTATTTAAAGCATACCATCTTGGTACTGAAGTAAGTGATACAAGAAGAAAATATTTAGTGTCAATAGAAATCACCCTCTAAATAAATTAAATAAATGTGTTTCTGATCATGAAAACTCCTTAGGTCTAGTCATAGATTCTTTATTCATTTACATTTAATGAAAAGAAACTTATAAAATGACTGTATTAATACTCATTTTAGAAATGAGAAAATTGAGGTCCAGAAAGGTTAATGGACAAAAACAGTTAGTAGTAGAATTTGTTTCAAGATCTCCCTATTCCATGTTGTCTTCAAGCATCTTTCATGGCTAAATGTTGTTGAACTCATCCAAAATATTACCGGAAGACCTGTTAATAAAGTAAAGCTAAATTTATTAGGTCTTATTGCAGTCAGGAAGCACACTATTTTGACAGTGTCTCAAAAGGGGAGAAAGAAGAGCTTTTCCATTTGGTAAGCGGATTAATGCACATCTTTCTAGGTGTTGAACTTATTAGGATTGGGCAAAGTTTGTGATATAATAGCTTAGGATTGGTGGACACAATGAAGTAACTATTTTAAAATGAGTCTTGATAAGCAAGCTATACTTGACAATTAAGCTCTGTGTCCACTTCCAATAATTCTGGTAATTTTTTGAAAAAAAAAAGTGTGATAAAGATATTTATTGCTTTACAGTGTTACCTTTCTCATGCAAAGTTTTCCTGGAACACACAACTAAGTCGTGTTGAAGCCAGTAATCTACATTTTCATGTAAATTATGTTAACATACGATCTCAATTCTCAGTTCTAATTTATAATCATTCTTCAGCCCAAGATGGAATTAGATTGGAAATGTAATCTAATCATTCCAATCCACACCATGTTTTGAAGAGTCATCTGCACACATCAGGTTTCCAGTCGCAGTCGTTTCAAATACTACATGTCAGATTATCCTGCTCATTTTTGTTGGATAGTTCTATATTGGAACATTTAATCAAACAATAGGTGGTTAATAGCATTTTAAAGCTATTTTGAACATTGAAGCACAGACCAATGTAAGAAAAATAATTAAAAAAAAATTAAACTAAGACAACAGATCCCATTCCTAATCCAAAAAAGCTGACAAAAGACCATATGGATGTAATAGCCAAATTACTAATTCTCATAAATTATGTTGTTTTCTGGATATGATTCGTACTATTTCAAACTCACATAAAAGCAGTGACATAACATTGTTCCTCTTAAATATATGATGGTATTCCTTTTGGAATATACCCAGTAGTAGGATTGCTGGGACAAGTGATATTTCTGGTTCTAGATCCTTGAGGAAATGGTTGAACTAATTTACATTCTCACCAACAGTGTAAAAGTGTTCCTATTTCTCCACAGCCTTGGCAGCATCTATTGTTTTTTGACTTTTTAATAATCCCCATTCTGACTGGCATGAGATGGTATCTCATTTTGGTTCTGATTTGCATTTCTCTAATGATCAGGGATGTGATGTTGAGCTTTTTTTCATGTGTTTGTTGGCCACATAAATGTCTTCTTTTGAGAAGTGTCTGTTCATTTCCTTTGCCCACTTTTTAATGGGGTTGTTTTTTTCTTGTAAATTTATTTAAGTTCCTTGTAAATTCTGCATATTAGACCTTTGTCAGATGAGTAGATTGCAAACTTTTTCTCCCATTCTGCAGGTTGCCTGTTCACTCTGATGATAGTTTCTTTTGCTGTGCAGAAGCTCTTTAGTTTAATTAGATCCCATTTATCAATTCTGCTTTTGTTGCAACTGCTTTTGGTGATTTCATCATAAAATCTTTGCCCATGCCTACGTCCTGAATGGTATTGCCTAGATTTTCTTCTAGGGTTTTTATGATTTTAGATACATATATGTATTGCAGCACTATTCACAATAGCAAAGACATGGAGCCAACCCAAATGCCCATCAATGTTAGCCTGGATAAAGAAAATGTGGTACATATATACCATGGAATACTATGCAGCCATAAAAATGAATGAGATCATGTTCTTTGCAGGGACATGGATGAAGCTGGAAGCCATCATCCTCAGCAAACTAACACAGGAACAGAAAAAGCAAACACCACATGTTCTCACTCATAAGTGAAAGCTAAACAATGAGAACACAGGGACACAGGGAGGGGAACAACATACACCTGGGCTTGTTGCAGAGGGGGGAAGAGAAGGGAGAGCATCAGGACAAATTACTGATGCATATGGGGCTCAATACCTAGGTGATGGGTTGATAAGCACAGCAAACCACCATGGCGCACATTTACCTATGTAACAAACCTGCACATTCTGCACATGTATCCTGGAACTTAAAAAACAAAAAACAAAAAACATTTGTGATTGTGAGAGGTGAATATTACATCTGGGGGCCGCTCTGTTTTCAAATACTACCTTCTTGGTCTCACAGACTACTCCTTGGGTGAAAACTCCTACAAGCTGACATTGTCTACCTATCAATTCTGCCAGTCCTCAAACCATAACCTGCTGGATTTTCACAACTCTTTATGCTTCTTGCAAAGCATAATATGAAGAAGCTTGAGAATAGAAGTAGGCCAACCAGATTTTATCTTAAGATTCTGGAATCAAGATAATTATAACTTTTTTTGAGATGGGGAAAATGTGGGCCAAATGAAATAAAGTTTATCATTAGGAAGGTCCAGAAGAGGAGATGTTGAAAGCTAATGTTAAATCACATTTCTATACATATTTTGATTCACAAGTAAGATGATTGGTTATTTTGTCTTAGTTAGGTTATATGTAAGCGTGACCACTTCAGGAAAGCAGGAAATCCATTGTCTGCAGTAGCAAAGGAGGCCGGGAAATATCTTAATTGCCTCCTAGTTTATATCTCACAAGTAAAGAATATACTCCCTTGGGATAAATTACCTTAATTAATGCATTTAGTTCTGACTAAATTGTAACTCTTTTTGGAAATATTTTGTTGTTTCTGAGTTAAAACATGAAATATATAGATAAAATCATAATTAAGGATCATCTCATCTTTATAACATGCCCAAAGTCATCCAGCTATTTATTGGATAATGATAGATTTACAGGGAAATTTACAATCTTTATGCTCATGAGTCTGGACATGTAAAGAGTAGGAAGGTGCCTCCATAAACCTTTCAAGAATAACTATTCTGATATATTGTTGATTTCTTTTTTGTTTTTGTTTTGAGAGGGGTCTTGCTGTGTCACCCAGCCTGGCGTACAGTGGCAACTTCCACCTCCCAAGCTCAAGACATCCTCCCACCTCAGCCTCCCAAGTAGCTGGGACTATAGGCATGGGCCACAATGCCTGGCTAAATGTGTATTTTTTGTAGAGGTGGGATTTTGCCGTATTGCTCAGGCTGATCTCCAACACCCAGGCTCAAGCAATCCTTTTGCCTTGGCCTCCCAAAATACTAGGATTACAGCGTTGTGGCATGAGCCACCATGCCCAGCTCTGACATACTGTTGATTTTCTTAGGGAAAAAACAAATATTGGCAATCCCAATTTAATGGACCACAAAAAAGGGGAACACAGATCTATAATTATATAATATATAGTTTTGGGTGGTACTGAAGATAAAATAACATCAGGTTGAATACCATAGGAAAATGGAGGATAATTATATTATTTTTGGCCCTAAAGTCCTGAACAAATCAATATTCTTATCAATTGGGTTCAATTACATGAAGAATGTGAGTTTGGCATACTTGACTATGCATTTTAGCCCTTTCTTTGCTAACAGTTCTAAAAGGTATCCTGCACACAGGTAGAATGTATGGTTTTACATGAGGCTTCTTGCATTCATATCAAATCTCAGTGAAAATCTGCCCAGAGTATGGCATCCCATGGAGATCTTGAATTTGGTCATGATTTGAACACAAAGACGTAATGTAGTCATTGCCAAACTAACTAGGACCTGATTATGAATAATGAAATCCCAGAAATCTTTTTTAAAAGATCATTTAGGAGAATATATAATTTTACAACTCTATTTACATAGCAAATTCCTACTTATTAAGGACTGCATGTGGTGTCATAAAGGAAAAAATAATATTAGAGTCCAAGGGTGACATTTATGAGCTAATATTGGGGAATAGTTTATGGATTACTAGAAATACCTCCTGGCTGTGTAACTGACACTGAGGGAGAGGTTGTGTGAGATTTTCAGGGATTTTGATGAATATTATGTTCTTAGTATCAGTACAAATCTACAAGATTTTCATTAATGTACAGAGCAAATTCTCCTAACACATTTAATAGCTTAAAATTCTGAATCCATTATTAAATGTTGTCTGGGTAAAAAAAATAAATAAGGGAATAGTATTATCAATCTTTTAAAATTTAGCCATTCTAGTCCTTGGAATAATCTTTAATTGTGATCTTCATTTACTAATGGTATTGATCAAACGTATATGCACTTATTACTAATGGTAATTACTAATGGTATTCAGCAAAAGTATATGCACTTATTATCAATTTATATGTTTCTTTCAGTAAAGTGTCTATATCTTAGAAGAGTTGGCACAAATAGAAAGCACATAATATAGCAGAAATGAGCAAAAATTAAATATATAAACAGAAACACACGTGCATGATAGAAGGAATACATGCCTTAATTAAGAAACAAAAATTATCAAATATAAAAGCTATCAAAAAATCTCACTTATCAGTATAGATACAAAATTTGTTAATAGAATGTTAGCTTTCCAAACTCAGCAATTTAAAACCGTCAATCCTCAATTTGATTTTATAAAAATAATAGATTTACTTAATTTTTTAAATCAATTTTAGCCACGTTTACACATTAAAGATGAATATGACTATCTTAATATATACAGACAAAATACTTGATAAAAATCACCAGTCTTTAACGGTGAAAGCCTATAGAAAACTCAGAATATACCAGAACTCCCTTAATTTAATTTTTAAAAAGTGCCCACCAAAGAAACTTCATACATTTTCCTCACTGAATAATAAAATTTTGTAAGCCAATTTTGAAGGATAATGGACCAGGTAAGCTTTATCGGTTCACTTCTGTTATATACTGTAGTGAAATGCCTAACCCATAAAGTAAAGAGCAAAAAAGAAATGAAAAGTATGAGGCTTGGGAAAGAGGACAAAAGTCATTATTTACTGATAATATGTAGGATATATAAAAATTTAAACAGGTTTACAAATTGTTTTGATTATAATCCAGACACATTTGTGAATAAAATTTAATATACAAACCCAATTTTATGTTTACATACAGCAATAACATAAAAAAGAAAAAATACCATAAAGGCATTATATACCTAGGAATAATTCTAACACCACCACAAATGCAAGACCTCTAATTCAACACAGTAAACCATAAAATAATATTGATATAATTTGAGACTCTGTCTCAAAAAAAAGAAGATAGACTCTATATATACATATAGAAAGAGTGTATCTATCTATCTATCTATCTATATAAAGACTATTTTAAAAATAATGGTTCTCAAATATATCAATAAATTTTAGCCACTTGTAATAGGAATCATGTAACATTGTAGAGATGGTGAAACTCTGAAATTTATATGGAATTTACAGGAATAATAGTGAGAACCACTTTGAAAAAACACAAGGGATGGCCGCCTCTCCACTACATATCAACATTTGTTATTATTATCATAATTTAGAATAGTATTAGTTCAATTAGTACAACAGAGGCCAGATATAAGCTAAGATATTTCATAGGTGGTTCAGCAAAGCAAAGGGGAAAAAAATGCTCCAACAAATAATTATAGGAAAACTATGTGTATGAGGAGGGTATGAAACACATTCTAAACTAAAACTGTACATAGTCATTAGATATGGGTAGATTTGAGAGCTAAATGTGAAAATGAACACAATAAAGATCAAAAGTAATTTTTAAAAATCTTCATAACTTTGTTGTAAGAATTTGCTTGAAGTCCAAGGTCAAGGAGCTGATAGATTTGGTGTCTCGTGAGAGTTTACAGGTGGCCATTTTCTTGATGTGTCCTCATGTAATGAAGAACAGAACAGAGACAGTGAGGGCAACCTCTCCGTCTATTCTTACAAGAACACTAATCCCATTCATGAGGGCTCCGCCTTGGTGACCTAATTACATATTAAAGTTGCCAGCACCTAACATCATTTCATTATCGGTTAGGATTTCAACATATGAATTTTAGGGAGACAATTGTTTACACCATAACACTTTAAGATTCTGTCCATGTAAAGTTCAAACTGGGAAACAAACACCTTCTTATTTATGCATGTACCCATAGATAGTACCATTCTAAAGAAAACATGGAGTGATAATCAAAAGCCAGTATAATTTTTACCTCTAAGCAAAGTTTGAGGAATTGTAATTGGTAAGTAGCAAAGAAGTAATTAATTGACAGCAATATTTGCATTAGAACACAACAACCTATACACTTAATTTTATGCACTCCAGTGTCTGTTTGATATATTCTACAGTTTTAATACACTCTGATCTTCATTCTTAAAAATATGTCCAAAATTCATTTTTTCCATCATCATCATAACTGTTTCCTAACTCTTTGTATATATCATAAAACTAATTGCAGAGTTAAGTATTGTTATTTCTGTTTTAACATGAGCACTAAGGCCAGGAGAATTAAATATACTATTACACATTCATTGAACAAGTTTATCATGAAAGAGATTCAAACACAGTACATATTTTTTTCAAGACTTGTGTAACTTATCCAATCCTTATTTTTCTCATACATATACTCCATACAGTATGTTTCCTTTGATCATTGCAAGGAATTCTAATACCTAAAATAAAATTATTCAATCCTGGGAAATAAGGCATAAAAATAGAATAATGCCCTAAGAGAATAAAGTGAAATGAAGTCTCAGTAAAATGTACAGCAAAACACATAATAGAAGATTCAAATGGTAGTGTAAAAAGTGTGAAAGTGTCACTTCATTCAAAATAAATTAACCAAAGGTGCAAAAACTACAGGAACAAAGTGTGATAAAATAAATTTTTATAACAAAGGAGAACTCTTCTGATTATTTCACTTGAAATTTTACCTTTGGCGCTTAACATTGTTAATAATTCAGGCCCTCTATTTATACCAACGTCCTTTCACTAAAACAAATAATGTAATACATACTTAATTGAACACATAAAGTCCAATCAGGTAAGACTTCTTAGATTGAAAACTCTTGGCCTAAATATTTTGAGCTTGCAAATCAGTGACAGGCTTACATAATAAGGACTGAAGTAAGTAATAACCTTAAAGCTATTTAGACAACCATGCAAAAACCGACCAAGAAATTTCACCAAGTTTTACTCAGGAATTTTGAGGCTTGAATTCATTCCTTTGTCTTTTGCCCAGTTCTCACAGGCATCACTCATGACTCAACAATCTTTGTATCGATAGCTTTGTCATTTTCACCCCATATCATCACTACCCTTCCTGTCAGTTTCTCATTCTTTCCACATATCACCTCTCATTTTTTTTTTCTGCTGGGTCCTACTGATGATATATTCTTTCAAACCTACATTAAAAAATTAATTGTAGGCCAGGCGCAGTGGCTCACACCTGTAATCCCAGCACTTTGGGAGGCCAAGGTGGGTGGATCACCTGAGGTCAGGAGTTCAAGACCAGCCTGGCCAAGATGGTGAAACCCTGTCTCTACTAAAAATACAAAAACAATTAGCTGGGCATGGTGGCAGGCACCTGTAATCCCAGCTACTCGGGAGGTTGAGGCAGAAAATTGCTTAAACCTGGGAGGTGGAGTTTGCAGTGAACCGAGATGCTGTGTCCGGAATTGGTGGGTTCTTGGTCTCGCCGACTTCAAGAATGAAGCTGCAGACACTCGCAGTGAGTGTTATAGTTCTTAAAGATGGTGTGTCTGGAGTTTGTCTGGAGTTTGTTCCTTCAGATGTTCAGATGTATCCGGAGTTTCTTCCTTCTGGTGGGTTCGTGGTCTCGCTGACTTCAGGAGTGAAGCCATGCACCCCCGTGGTGAGTGTTACAGCTCTTAAAGGCAGCATGTCTGGAATTGTTCATTCCTTCCAGTGGGTTCATGGTCTCGCTGGCTTCATGAGTGAAGCTGCAAACCTTCTGGGTGAGTGTTACAGCTTTTAAAGGCCACACAGACCAAAGAATGAGCAGCAGCAAGATTTATTGCAAAGAGCGAAAGAACAAACCCTCCACAGCGTGGAAGGGGACCTGAGCGGGCTGCCGCTGCTGGCTCCGATGGCCTGCGTTTATTCCCTTATCTGGCCCCACCCACATCCTGCTGATTGGTCCATTTTACAGAGAGCTGATTGGTCCATATTATGGAGAGCTGATTAGTCCATTTTGAAAGTGCTGATTGGTGGGTTTACAAACCTTTAGCTAGACACAGAGTGCTGATTGGTGCATTTACAATGCTTTACCTAGACAGAAAAGTTCTCCAAGTCCCCACCCATCCCAGAAGCCCAGCCGGCTTCACCTCCCACTGACACTCGCCCCAGGACTTTGTGGCACCTAGCCTGGGCACTCTGGCAGCCCAGAGGGATCTCGTCCCAGACAACCAAGAGGAAAAGAGGGGAAGGGAGAAAGACACGGAGACCTGCCATCATGGCCAACGACCCCATGAAGAGGGAACGGTGGTCCATGCGCGGGACCCAGCCTGTAATCAAGCCCAGCAGGCTCCGGCCTGCCGCACCAAGGAGCCCGCCCCCACCGGAACCCGCGCCGGCCCACCATCGCGGCACTCAGCCTGGGCTCCCGCCCACACCTCTCCCTCCACACCTCCCTGCGAGCAGAGGGAGCCGGCTCCGGCCTTGGCCAGCCCCAGAGAGGGGTTCCCACAGTTCAGCAGCGGGCTGAAGGGCTCCTCGAGCATGGCCAGAGCAGACGCCGAGGCCGAGGAGGCCCTGACAGTGAGCGAGGGCTGCCGGCACGTTGTCACCTCTCA
This sequence comes from Homo sapiens, assembly GCF_000001405.40. Classification (NCBI taxonomy): domain Eukaryota; kingdom Metazoa; phylum Chordata; class Mammalia; order Primates; family Hominidae; genus Homo; species Homo sapiens. The sequence continues at coordinate 97,718,293 of NC_000011.10, forward strand.
ACACCACTGCACTCCAGCCTAGGTGACAGAGTGAGACTCCATCTCAAAAAAACAAAAATGTAGTAAAATACATATAACATATAATGAACTATTTTAACGGTACAGCTCAGGAGTGTTAAGTATATTTATATTGTTCTGCAACAAGTCTCCAGAAATATTTTATCTGGCAAAACCAGTTAGTCACCAATGAATGTGCAGAATAGTGATGCAGAAGGAAATAAGTAAGATAATTTTCTATATTAGGACAATTGAGTCATGTAAAGGCCCAAAATGAAATATGACTTTTTGTGCCTCTAGTGGTAAAAGGTGATAACTTTAACAATACAACAGGGTGAATTAACAGGCACTCATGGGAGTATACATTGGTACAATTGCTTTGATAAAAAATTGGCATCATATTGATATTGACAATATATACTTTCACAGACACCCCATTCTTAGTATGTATATACTCAACAAATCTCTTGCCTATAGACAGCTGATACTCACAACATCACTGTTTGAACTAGCAAAAACTTGAAAACAAATCATATACACTGAAAGTATAACGGATAGATAGTGGCATAGTCACACATTAGAATATTCCACAAAAGAAATGAAATAAAGCTACCAACGACGTCGATGATAAATCTTAGCACTGAGTGAATCCTAGCACTGTGTAAGTAAATACATAAGTCTTAGTAAAATATAAATGCCATGTACATTTTAAAAAATTAAAGGAAAACCAAAACAACAGAGAAAAATTTTTCTTAGAATTAAACATATGATAAATTAAAGAGTAAGACTATGATGTAAGATTAATGATATTAATATATACCTTTAAAATATGATATTATTAAAATGTAATAAGGGATAAAAGATGGGAAAAGAGGTATCATACAAACAATAACCATAAATGACCTGCAATAGTTCACAGCTGAAAATAGCCACACAAATAGACTTGAAAGTGAATAAATGTTGAAAAAATAAAGCAAAATTTTATATTGATAAAAGGGACTGCCAAAGATGCAGATATAGCAATTATAAACATAATATGCACCCAACAGCAGAGCCTCAAAATATTTGAAATAAAAGTGACAGAATTAAAGGGAAAATTAGGTGTTTCTCTATTAATAGTTAGAAATTTCAGTACCCCACTGTCAATGCTAGATAGAAAAACTAGGCAGTATATTAAAAAGGAAATATAAGACTTGTACAATACTGTAAATTAACTAGATCTAATCTATAGAAAACTCCACCACTAAAAGCAGAATATACATTTTTTTCAAGTGTACAGAAAACCTTCTTAAAGATGAGCCATATACCAGACCAAAACACAAGCCTCACTAAATTTAAAACGGATGAAAAAATACAGAATATGTCCTTTGATCATAATAAAATAATTATACATCAATAATAAGAGGGAATTGGAAAATTAACAAATATGTGGGAATTGAATAAGATACTCTATCAAGAAAGTGAGAAGACAATCCATGGAATGGAAAAAACTACTTGCAAATCATACTTATAAAAAGGTACTTGTATCTAGAATATATGAATACCTCTTACAACTCAATAATAAAAGACAAAAATAATCCCATTAAATAATGAACAAAGAATCTGACTAGGCATTTAGCAAGGATGACATAAAAATGGCCAATATACACATACAAAAAAGATGTGCAACATAATCACCAGGCAAATGTAAATGAAAACCACAATATTGTAACACTTTACACACATGAGGATTTGAAAAATAAAAACATCAATTAACAAGTATTAAAAAGGATATAGAGAAATTGAAATATCCATCACTCCTAGTATAAATTTAAAATGGTACAGCCATTTTGGAACACAGTTTGGCAGTTTCTCAAGTGATTAAACATAGAGTTACTATGTGATTCAGTAATTCCACTCCCAGGTAAACACACAAGAGAAATGAAAACATATATCTAGACAAAAGCTTGTACATTAATATTTTAACAACACAATTAATAATAGCCAAAAAGTAGAAGCAATGCAAATGTCCATCAATAGATAAAAGGATAGACAAAATGTAGTATGTCTATAGATGAAATATTATTCAGCCATAAAATATAAAAGTACTGATATTGCTAGAGCATGAATAAATCTTGAAACATTATGCTAACTGAAAGTAACCAGACACAAAACACTTTACATTATATTATTTCACTCATTTGAAAGGCAAAAATAGGAAACGATATTATATAGACAGAAAACATACTAGTGGGTGCTTAGAACTGTGAAGGAGTGTTGGGGAGAGCTAGTGGGTATGACGTTAGTTTTTGAAATGATGACAGTGTTGTAAAATTGCCTATGGTAACCATTGCACATATCTCTAAACACACTAAAAACAATTGAATTGTATAATTTAAATATGTGAGATATACGATATGTCAATTATATCTTAAAAAACTGAAAAAAAATAATGACTATTACTAACATATATGTTTTGCTGTTCTGAATCCAGAGTTTCCCACAAAAGCTAATTACTCCACTTACAATGAGAAACTTCACACTTGACATAAATATGTGTAAGACAGGTGAAGAAAGGGAGTCCCTTGGGTATAATGTAGCTTATTAATAATAAATGAAAGTATCTTCACCCAACATGTATATAGTTAGAAAGCAAAATTTTCATTATGAAATAAAAGAGATGGAAGATGTTAAGAAAGAACCTATAATTTTCAGTCTTATATTTGAATTAGGATTAACAATATGATGTTATTGGGTTTTCTCTAAATATTATGTATTTTGAGGAGACCTTTGGAAAATGGCAGATAGGAAACAGGGCTAACATGCATCTCCCACTTGGATGGACAGAATAGTGTGTGGCAACTCACACTATGAACTTTTGCTCCAAGAGCTATTGCAGGAATGTACCAGGAAAACTGTAAGAATTTACAGATCCTTTGAAAAAAGCAGCACACCGCTTCAAATTCCATGAAGCAGGTGAAAAACTGTGTGTTCCCAAAGTGTGAGTGGGGGAAAACCTGCTTCTGAATGCACATTCCCGCTGGGGAATTGGAAAATTTAGACCACAGAAGAATTTAACCTTATCTAGAGCTGAAATGGATTTAAGGAGTTGTCTGAAATATACAAGTAGAAGCATCAGCAGGAAGAGCCTCAGAGGCACTTCCATTTTCCAGCTTAAGCCCAGGGAAGCCATTCCTGACTATATCTCACAGGGGCCCTCAGGGAAGGCAAACAATGGGATTAGGGAGTGTTAACAGGGTGAAAAAAGCTTCCAACTGAATTTTGTAATAATTTTGAATGTGCACAAACTTTTTGTGAGCAGAATCTGGGGGCAAAGGAGAAGTCCTGCAGATATGAGTGCAGGAGCCACCGCGAACATTGTGGACAGACAGGGAGGGGCAAGGCTGAAAACCTAGCTTGCTTGTTCAGTGGGGAAGCTTATAGTCTGGGACAAGGTCTGAGTTCCTCATGCAGGCTGCCTGCATCTAAACTTGATGCTGTTAGCGGGGCACTGTGGGAGCCAGAACAGCCTCACCAACTGCATGGGAACTGGGTGAGACCTTTTGCTACTGGCTATCCCCCACTTCCCTGGAGAACTATACAGCACAGCAGATTATTATTAACTATATAATCTTCTCTGGAACCTAATCCCATTGACCCGAGAATCACAACACCATCCCCCACAATGGTCATAGCAAGCCCTGCCCAAGGAGAGTTCAGACCTGCCTAACCCTGCCCCTACCTGATGGTTTTTTTCTACCCACCCTGGTAGCCAAACACAAAATACATATACTCTTGGGAGTTTTGTGGCCCCGCACATTGCCTGAGAAACCAGAATACCTACTCTGGCCAACTTAGGGCAAGTTTATATTACATTGCTAATACCAGACCTGGTGTTCTCTTGAAAGTACCACCTCCTGGCTGGAGGCCAATCATCTCAGGCCATTATAGCAACTCAAGACAGAATAATCCTGCTCCCAGGAAAAAGAAAACAATGACTAATACCACCAGCTGCAACATCCTGGCTAACCAAAGGTCCTGAGTCTGTCCATGTAACAACTTCACTGCTAGCATAGCCAGCATTTGATAAAGCCAGCACACTAAACAATCTACTACCAAGGACTCTGAATGAGTCTACTTCATTCCTCTGCCACCTCCACCAGAGCCAGTGCTGGTATCTATGGCTGGAAAACCTGAAGACAGGTCACATCACATGACTCTTTGCAGATATTCCCCAGCACCAGCTTGGAGCCTGGTAGCCCTGCTGGGTGGCTAGACCCAGAACAGCAATAAAGATCACTGCAGTCTGGCTCTCAGAAAGCCCCATTCCTAGAGGAAGCAGGAGAGCACCACATCAAAAGATCACCCTGTGGGATAAAAGAATCTGAACACCAGGCCTTGAGTTACAGATCTTTGCACTGGTGGGTAGTTCTTCACAGCAGAGACACAATTACAGGGCTGGGCACAGTAGAGAAAGTCTGCATCTATACCCCAACAGCAGGCAGCTTCTCTGATCATGAAGGGCCTTGGAGAAGGGATCCTTGTTCCCCTCTGACACTCCACCGCAGATACAGCTGGGGCTTCCCCCACAGGAATGCAGCCTGGAGGCACCTATAGTCAGACTTTCTGGAACAATTCAGGGTGAGTGCAGCCCCACAGGAGGAGCACACTCCAGATTCAGGCCTGCATGAGAGGCAGAGACACAATTCCCTCCTACTTGGAACATCAACATTCCTATAGATGAAAAGAGGTGCCTGTCTGATCTGAATAGCTGAAACAGTAGGACAGGAATGAGGCTGGGAGGTGAATAGCTTTCCTGCTGACCTGGCAAGGGAGCTGAGGTAGCTCCCACTCTTCACCCTGATAAAACCTTAGCACAGCTACTTGAGAGCTCCCCCAGCTACCATCATCAAGGCCGGGACGTTGGCCCACCATTCGGTATTACATCTACCCACCTCCCTTAGCCACAACTGAGCCAGCTAAAGAATTTATAAGGTTTGTTATTAAGCTACTCAAAGAGATACCAGAGGAAGGTGAAACCAACTTCTAAAAATTAAAAAAAATATATACAGGGTATGGATGCAAAATTTTCCAGAGAAATAGATATCATGAAGGAAAAACAGTCACAACTTCTGGAAATAACAGACACAATTAGAGAAATACAAAATGCACAGGAAAGTTTCAACAATAGACTAGAACAAGTAGAAAAGAGAAATCAGAGCTTGAAGACAAGGCTTTCAGATTAACCCAATCAGACCAAGACAAATAAACTTTTTTTTTTAATAACAAAGCCTGCAACTAATTTGGGATTACGTAAAGCAGTCAAATCTAAGAATAATTGGTATTCCTGAGGAAGAAGAGAAATCTAAAAGTTTGGAAAAATTATTTGAGGAAATAATTATGCTAAACTTCCCTGGCCTTGTTATAGATCTAGACATTCAAATACAAAAAGCTCAAAAAATTTCTGGGAAATTCATCACAAGAAGATCATCACCTAAGCACGCAGTCATCAGTCTAAAGTCAAGGTGAAGGAAAGAATCTTAAGAGCTGTGAGACAAAAGCATCAGGCAAACAATAAAGAAAACCTATCACATTAACAGCAGTTTTCTCAGCAGAAACGTTATAAGCCAGAAGGATTGAGGTCCAATCTTTAGCCTCTTTAAACAAGATATTTGGCAGCCAAGAATTTTGTATCTAATGAAACTAAGCTTCATAAAGGAAGGAAAAGCAGTCTTTTTCAGACAAATAAATGCTAAGAGAATGTGCCATTACCAAGCCAGGAGTACAAGTAATGCTAAAAAGAGTTCTACATCTTGAAACAAAACCTCAAAATACACCAAAATAGAACCTCTTTAAAGTGTAAATGTCACAAGGCCTATAAAACAATAATCCAATGGGAAAAACAAGGTATTTAGAAGGCAACTACCATGGTGAATAGAAAAGTACCTCACATCTCAATATTAACGTTGAATGCAAGTGGCCTAAATTCTCCACTTAAAAGATGCAGAATGACAGAATGGATAAAAATCCACCAACTAAGTAACTGCTATCTCCAAGAAACTCACCTAACACATAAGGACTCACATAAACTTAAAGTAAAAAGGTGGAAAACAATATCCCATGCAAACAGAAACCAAAAGTGAGCAGGAGTGCCTATTCTTATATCAGACAAAACAGACTTAAAGCAAAATCAGAAAAAAATAAAATAAAATAAAAAGATTAGTCCTACAGAAAAATATCACAATCCTAAATATATTAGGTTGGTACAAAAACAATTGCAATTTTTGCCATGACTTTTAATGACAGAAACTGCAATTACTTTTGCACCAACCTAAGTATATGCACCTAACACTGGAGCTCCCACATTTACAAAACAATTACTACCAGACCTTAGAAATTAGATGGACAGCAACACAAAAAGAGGGGAAGAATTCAGTAGTCTACTGACAGCACTAGACTGGTCATCAAGACAGAAAGTCAACAAAGAAACAATGAACTTAAACTACACCCCAGAACAAATAGACTTAAAAGATATTTACAGAACATTCTACCCAACAACTGCAGAATATGCACACTTTTTATCTGCACATGGAACATTCTAGAAGCTAGATCATGTTGGCCACCAACATGTCTCAACAAATTTAAGAAAGTGGAAATCACATCAAGTATCCTCTCAATCCAGAGTGGAATAAAACTGGAAATGAATTTCAAAAGGAACCCTCAAAATTATTAAAATATATGAAAATTAAATAATCTGCTCTTGAATGATCTTTGGGTTAACAATGAAATCAAGATGGAAATTTAGAAATTCTTTGAACTGAACAACAGTGACACAACTTATCAAAACCACTGGGACACAGCAAAAACAGTGCTAAGAGGAGAGTTCATAGCATTACATGCCTACATGAAAAAGTCTGAAAGAGCACAAATAGGCAATTCAAGGTCACACCTCAAGGAACTAGAGGAACAAGAACAAACCAAACCCAAACCCAGCAGAAGAAGAGAAATAACAATGATCAGAGCAGAACTAAATGAAACTGAAACAACAAAACAATACAAAAGATAAACAAAAAGCTGGTTCTTCAAAAAATAAAACTGATAGACTATTAGTGAGATTAATAAAATAAGAAGAGAGACGAACCTAATACGCTCAATTAGAAATGAAACAGGAGACATTACAACCGATACTATAGAAATGCAAAAGATCGTACAAGGCTACAATGAACACCTTCATACATACAAACTAGAAACTCTAGAGAAGGTAGATAAATTTCTGGTAATATACACCCCTTCTGGATTAAATCAGGAAGAAACAGATACTCTGAACTAACCAATAATAAGTAGTGAAATTAAAACAGTAATAACAAAATTGCCAGCAAAAAAAGTGCAGGACCTGATAGATTCACAAGTGAATTCTGTGTGGCATTCAAATAATTGGTACCAATACTGCTGAAACTATTCCAAAGGATAGATGAAGAGGGAATCCTCCCTAAAGCATTCTATGATGCCAGTATCACCCTAATACCTCAACCAAGAAAGGACATAACAAAAAGAGAACTCCAGACCAATATCCCTATTGAATATAGATTCAGAAATTCTCAACAAAATATTAGCTAACTGAGTCCAACAGCATATTAAAAAGATAATACATCATGATCAAGTCGGTTTTATGCCATGGATGCATGGATTATTTAAGACATGCAAGTAAATAAACATGACACATCACATAAACAGAATTAAAAACAAAAATCATATGATCATCTCAATAGACACAGAAAAAGTTATCTTACAAAATCTAGCATTGCTTTATGATTAAAACCCTCAGCAGGCTGGGCATGGTGGCTCACGCCTATAATCCAAGCACTTTGGGAGGCCGAGGCAGGTGGATTATGAGGTCAGATGGAGACCACCCTGGCTAACACGGTGAAACCTTGTCTCTAATGAAAATCCAAAAAATTAGCCAGGCATGGTAGCATGCGCCTGTAGTCCCAGCTACTTGGGAGGTTGAAGCAGGAGAATCGCTTGAACCCAGGAAGTGGAGGCTCCGGTGAGCTGAGATTGCACCACTGCACTCCAGCCTGGGTGACAGAGTGAGACTCTGTCTCAAACAAACAAACAAAAAAAACAAGTCCTCAGCAAAATTGACATAGAAGGGACATACTTCAAGGTAATAAAAGCCATCTATGACAAACCCGCAGCTAACATTATACTAAATGGGGAAAAGTTGAAATCATTCTCCCTGAGAACTGGAAAAAGAATTCCTACTTTCACTACTTCTATTCAACATAGTCCTGGAATTCCTAGCTAGAGCAATCAGACAACAGAAAAAAAATAAAAGGCATCCAAATTAGTAAAGATGAAGTCAAACCGTTGCTGTTTGCTGATCATATACCTAGAAAACCCTGAAGAATCATCCAAAAAGCTCCTAGATCTGATAAATGAATTCAATAAAGTCTCAGTTTACAAAATTAATGTACACAAATCAGTAGCACTGCTATACACCAACAATGACCAATCTGAGAAAAAAATCAAGAACTCAATACTTTTTACAACAGCTGCAAATAAGATGACATAAAATACTTAGGAATATACTTAACCAAGGAGGTAAAATACCTCTACAGGGAAAACTATGAAATGCTGCTGAAAGAAATCATGGATGAGACAAACAAATGGAAACACACCCCATGCTCATGGATGGGTAGAATCAATATTGTGAAAATAACCATACTGCCAAAAGCAATCTTCAGATTCAATGCAATTCCCATCAAAATAGCACCATCATTCTTCACAGAACTAGAAAAATAAATCCAAAAATTCATACAGAACCAAAAGAAAGCCTGTATACACAAAGCAAGACTAATCAAAAAGAACAAATCTGGAGGCATTACACTACCTAATTTCAAACTATACTATAAGGCCATAGTCACAATAACAACATGGTAGTGGTATCAAAAGAGGCACATAGACCAATGGAACAGAATAGAGAACTCAGAAATAAAGCCGAATACTTACAGCCAACTGATCTTTCATAAAGCAAACAAAAACATAGAGTGGGGAAAGGACACCAGGTTCAATAAATGGTGCTGGGATAATTGGCAAACCACCTGTAAAAGAATGAAACTGGATCCTCATCTCTTACCTTATACAAAAATCAACTCAAAATGGATCAAAGGCTTAAATCTAAGACCTGAAACCATAAAAATTCTAGAAGATAACATTGGATAAATTCATCTAGACATTGGCTTAGGCAAAGAGTTCGTGATGAAGAGCCCAAAAGCAAATCGCAACAAAAACAAAAATAAATAGATGGGACCTAATTAAACTAAAAAGCTTCTGCACAGCAAAAGAAATGATCAGCAGAGTAAATAGACAACCCACAGAGTGGGAGAAAATATTCACAAACTATGTATCTAACAAAGGACTAATATCCAGAATCTTCAAGGAACTCAAACAAATCACAAGAAAAAAAATCCCATCAAAAAGTGAGCTAAGGACATAAATAGACAATTCTCAAAAGAAAATATACAGATGGCCAAAAAAATATGAAAAAATGCTCAATATTACTAATTATCAGGGAAATGCAAATCAAAACCACAATGAAATACCCCCTTACTTCTGCAAAAATGGCCATAATTAAAAAATTAAAAAAAATAGATATTTGCATGGATTTGGTGAAAAGAGAACACTTTTACACTGAAGCCATAAAAATTCTAGAAGATAAAATTTACCTGAATGTTTGTTGGGAATGTAAACTAGTACAACCACTAGGGAAAACAGTATGGAGATTCGATAAGGAATTAAAAGTTGAACTACCATTCAATCCAGCAATCCCACTACTAGGTATCTACCCAAAGGAAAAGAAGTCATTGTATAAAAAAGACATTTGCACATGCATGTCTATAGCAGCACAATTCACTATTGCAAAAATATGGAACCAGCCTAAATGCCCATTAACCAATGAGTGGATTAAAAAAATGTAGTATATATACACCATGGGATATACACACCACACTCAGCCCTTAAAAGGAATGAAAGAATGGCCTTTGCAGCAACCTGGATGGGGCTGGAGAAGATTATTCTAACTGAAGTAATGAAGGAATAGAAAACCAAATATCATATGTTCTCACTTATAAGTGGCAGCTAAGCTATGGGGATGCAAATGCCTAAGAATGATATAATGGACTTTGGGGACTTGGGAGGAAGGGTGGGAGAGGGGTGAGGGATAAATACTACACATTAGGTATAGTGTACACTACTCAGTTGACAGGTGCTCCAAAATCTCAGAAATCACCACTAAAGAACTTATCCATGTAACCAAAAACCACTTGTTCCCCCAAAATTATTAAAATATAATAAAATAAAAATATACTATGTGTTTTCTAGCTCTGCCATTGAAAAGGCTTGGAATGAAATAATCAAGTGGCAGTGTTGGAGCATGAAAGAGACATTAACAGTGAATATAACCTGTGAGAATGCTTTGCATCCTGATGCAAACAATAGTAAAATAACAGTAAAAAGTTTCAAGGCAGAGAAATTTGGATTTGAATTAAGTGATATTGGAAATAGTTATTATTTTCAGGTGTTATGGAGACATCTTAGTTTATTAAAAGCACACACATATTTTCATATACATACATATTCACAAACACATTAACATATACATACTATGTGTGGGTATATATATATATATATATATATATGCAATTGTGTATGTGCACACTCACATACAAATTTGGAGAGAGAAAAATGAAGCCTAATTTACAAGGATTAATACTAATATTTGAAGCTGGGCCATGAATACAAGTTTAGTATATCTCTCTACTTTTGTCAACGTTTAACATTTTTCGCAATAAAATATTTTTAAATAATGTGCCACTAGTTTTTTGTCAATTTCAAACAGTATTTAAATGTTATTATTAAGTGATAAACAGCATTATTATTAATGTAGCAAGTTAAAAAGCATGAGATAAATTCAAATGCTGTGCAATTATGGGTTAAGAGTGCAAAATGGTCCTGAATCTCATCACAACCTGTGCATTTCTCTTTGTAACTATTTTTAAAAATACAGTAATCATTTATATGAACTTTTTTTGCATAAAACAGTAGCTGCCTTATTTTTGCCCATTCCTCCTATATTACTGTGGAAGAGGGATAAAAGTTGGTCAGCTCTGGGTAAAAATAAAATTGTTTTGTTATTAATTAACCAGTCTACGTATATTCATAACAGTGTACTTTTAGTTGCACTTCTAGCTTTGTAATTGCCTTTGAAATGTCAAGGACCTGACTAACACTATTTGGCAGACATATTATAGCCCATCTTATCCCTCTCCTATCACAGCTCATTTTTTCTTCCTTTGCTTTCTGAATATGAACCATGGAAATCTAACTCTAGATAATCCATAATACTTTGTTTCTCAGAGTATTGCAATGCATTTCTTCATCCTAGATATGAGTGTTACACAAAGTTTTCCAGTCAGCAAGACATAGCAAGATATCTGCGATTTCTCATATCCTGCACTGCCAAATTGAAGAACAATTATAATGATTTGAAATGTATTACACGTGGTTACCCATTCCCCAAAACATCTCTCAAATGACAAAACAAAGCTATGTTCTGGAAGCACAGAATGCTGATAAAGATTACCCAGACCTTTTATGGCTGTGGTTAAATTAAAAGTGAAATAAAATGCTGTAATCTAAGCTGCTGAATTTAAATTAATACAATGTTTTCTATGGCTCTATGCCTCTCTTTATGAAGAGGGTTTTCCCCCAGGGTTTGCAAAACAATGGGATAAATCAGGCATTACCCTGTGGTGGTAAAGAGCACGTGCATTTGATTTGGGAGAATCCTTACTTTCCACTTTAAGAGCCAAATGGCCTTGGGAAACTAACTGCTAAGCCTTTCTATGTTAATATGTTTGATCAGTAAAAGCAGACCTTATGATACTTCTAATAACAGGTTTTGAATAACGTCACTTCATAGCTTCCTCACATCCATTTGCATTTTCTAATGTGCAAGGGGCCTTTTGTTTTTGCTAAAAGGGTAGTGAAAAAATGCTTACGGATCAGAGGAAAAGACATGTATTAGTTAACACTCATTGCTGTATCAAACGATACCAAAAATACAAAATTGTTAAAACATATATTTATTATTTGCACTGTGAAAGTTGAAAAGGTGTTCTGTATCAATTAAAAGCTCCTTTCTAAGAGGTGATTCAGATATTATCCATTCTGCTTTCACCTGTTGGTTGCACCAACTGATGGTCCTCATAGTTGCCTAAGGTGATAGTATCCAGTTGGAGGATGAGAGAAAATAGTGCGGAAAAGGTTAAACTTTGTTTTAATTACATAAGCCAAAAAGTAATATAGAGCACTTTTGTTCACATAATATTTGTGAAGACTTGTAGGGCCCTACAAGGGAATTGGATAATATAATCTTTAGCTAGACTCTAGCTGCTTCTGAGCAATAACTCTACAATACGAAAGGTAATCACAAATATTTGATAGTCAGCTAGTTATTTCTGACACAAGAACATTTGAGGAAAACAACGAAGTGTGTTGGTTGATGTAAGTACTAGGATAGGGAACATATCTTATTTAGCAATGACTATTCTACGTGATTCACTTAATATAATATTTGAAAAGAAACAAATGAATTTCTCATTAAAGAAATCAGTATGTTTTTTACTTTTGAGAAGGTAGCTTCTGAGATGGAACATGAGAAGGGACGTTTAGGGTCTTGGCTAAATATATATATAAATATATATATATATATATAAATAAATATATATATATAAATATATATATATATAAATATATATATATATATATACACACACACACACATACACACACACACACAAATATATATATATCTCTTTTTTAAAAAACAGGGTATTAGTTAAGTGGGTGTGATCACCAAAATTCGTCTGCTATATATTTCAGGTTGTGTGTTTAATATATAAAATACTTCATTAACACATTTTCTTTCAAAATTAAATGCTTAAAAAATAAAGAATACTGAGAGCGTATTAATACTGATTACAGTAACAAAATGCAGTATGGTATAATACACTTTGAGCCAAGCTTTACCAGATCCCAGCCATTCACCTGAAGGCACTTGTGATAGCATTTCTAGTTGAATGTAAAAAGAATTCAAGTAGTTTGGGAAAGAACATTGTAATCTGGACCCTGGTTAAGTGGTTCATTAATTAGTCCTGGAAAGCAACACATTTTTGAAAGAACATAGAAAGCTGATAAAACGGGAGGGGATGATTTACTCCTAGTAAGAAAAAAAATGTTTTAAGTGTATCCTCTGTCTTTACCCTCATTTTTTCACTATATTAAACATATGCTGTCAAGTTAAAAACTGTCATTTAGTGAAATGATGTAACTGTCAAATGTTGCAGCACTACCTTGGCCTATCCTTAGATAGTTCAATAGTAGAATTGCATTTACTGTTATATCATTTGCAAATTCTTGAAAAATCTTGTGCATATGTACTATCAATTATGCACTAAAGGAAATGATAACTATTGTTCAAGGTCAAAACAAAGTTTTTATTTATAGTCAATCAACACTTTTATTTTAATTATTTTTTTTCTTCTGTGGTTTAGTCACCTCAGCCATTCCAGCCTTCTGGCTCTGGAGAGTCCAGGCAGTCCGGATAAGGAAGGGTCACCCCTAATTCAGCACATCTGCACTAACAAAATGCAGCCAGACAGCTTCTTTAAATGAGTCCCTGATCCCATTCCTTCTGACTGGGTGAAACCTCCCTACAGGAGTTTTCAGAGGGTTTGGGGTGGGCCAGCAACAGGGTAGTACCCCCCTGGGATGGAACTTCCAGAGAAAGGAGCAGGCTGCCATCTTTGCTGTTTTGTAGCCTTTACCTCCAGGTATGGGAAAAACTGAGGCAACCAGGATCTGGAGTGGATCCCCAGCCAACTGTAGCAGCCCTAAGGAAGAGTGGCCAGACTGTTCAGAGAAAAACAGATGAACAGAAAGCAACAAGAGCAATAACATTAACAAAAAAGACCTCACAAAAACCGCATTCAAAGGTCAGTAACCTCAAAGATTGAGGTAGATAAGCCCATAAAGATGAGAAAGGATCAAAGCAAAAATGCTGAAAACTCAAAAAGCCAGAGTGCCTCTTCTCCTCCACAACATCTCTCCAGCAAGGGCACAGAGCTAGGCTGAGGCTTAGATAGCTGAACTGACAGAAACTGGCTTCAAAAGGTGGGTAATAATTAACTGAACTAAAGGAGCATGTTGTAACCCAATGCATAGAATTGGGTTACATGAATCATGATAAAACAATAGAGGAGCTTGTAACCAGAATAGTCAGTTTAGAGAGGAACATAACCAACCTGATGGCATTGAAAAACACAACATAAGAACATTACAATACAATCACAAGTATCAATAGCAAGATAGACCAGGAGGAGAAAAGAGTGTCAGATCATGAAGACTGTTTTTCTGAAATAAGACAGGCAGACAAGATTAGAGAAAAAGGAACGAACAAAACCTCTGAGAAATGTGGGATTATGTAGAAAAACTGAACCTATGACTGACTGGGGTATCTGAAAGGGATGGGGAGAATAAAACCAAGTTGGAAAACACACTGCAGAATATCATCCAGGAGAACTACCCTAACCTAGCAAGACTGGCCAAAATTAAAATTCAGGAAATGCAGAGAACTCCAGTAAGTTACTCCATGAGAAGATCAACCCCCAGACATATAATTAGATTCTCCAAGGTCAAAATGAAAGGAAAAGTGGTAAGGGCAGCCAGAGAGAAAGGCCAGGTCACTTATAAAGGGAAGTCCATCAGACTAACAGTGGAACTCTCAGAGGAAACCCTACAAACCAGAAAAAGTTGGGAGCTAATATTCAACATTCTTGAAGAAAAGAATTTCCAAACCAGATTTTCATATTCAACCAAACAAAGCTTCATAAACAAAGGAGAAATAAGATCCTTTTCAGATAAGCAAATGCTAAGGGAATTTGTCTAGTATTGCCTTGCAAGAGCTCCTGAAGAAATCACTAAATATGGAAAGGAAAAGCCATTACCAGCCACTACAAAAACACACTGAAGTACACAGACCAGTGACACTATGAAACAACCATTTAAACAAGTCTGCAAAATAACCAGTTAGCATCATAATGATAGGATCAAATTCACACATAAGAATACTAACCTTAAACGTAAATTGGGCTACATGCCCAAATTAAAAGTAGCAGAATAGCAAGCTGGATAAACAGCCAAGACCCATCAGTATGCTGTCCTCAACAGACCCAACTCACATGAAAGGACATTCATGGACTCAAAATAAAGAGATGTAAGTAAATTAACCAAGCAAATGAAAAGCAGAAAAAAGCAGGGATTGCAATCCTAGTTTCTGGCAAAACAGACTATAAACCAACAAAGATAAAAAAAGACAAAGAAGGCTATTACATAATGGTAAAGGGTTCAATTCAACAAGAGGAGCTAAATATCCTAAATATATACGCACCCAATATAGGAACACTCAAATTCATAAAGCAAGTTCTTAGAGACCTACAAAGAGACTTACACTCCCACACAATAATAGTGGGAGGGTTTTATACCCCACTGACAATATTAGACAGATCATGGAGACAAAAAATTAATAAAGATATTCAGGACCTGAGCTCAGCTCTGGATCAAGCAGCCCTGATCTACAGAACTGTGTACCCCCTAAAAACAGAATATACATTTTTCTCATCACCCCACATCAGTTACTCTAAAATTGATCACATAATGGGAAGTAAAACACCCCTCAGCAAATGCAAAAGAACTGAAATCATAACAGTCTATCAGACCACAGCACAATAAAATTAGAACTCAAGATTAAGAAATTCACTTGAAAATGCATAACTACATGGAAATTGAACAACCTGCTCTTGAATGACTTGGGTAAATAATGAAATTATGGCAGAAACTAAAGAGAATAAAAGAGACAACATACCAGAATCTCTGGGACACAGCTAAAGCAGTGTTAGGAGGAAATTTATAGCACTAAATGCCCACAGCCAAAAACTAGAAAGATCTCAAGTTAACAGCCTAACATCACAACTGAAAGAACTAGAGAACCAAAAACAAACAAACCCCAAAGCTAGCAGAAGATAAGAAATAACCACGATCAGAGCTGAACTGAAAGAGACAGAGACATAAACAACCCTACAAAAAAATCAACAAATCCAGAAAATGATTTTTTTTTTGAAAAAAGTAATAAAATAGATAGGCCATCAACTAAACAAATAAGAAAAGAGAGAAGAATCAAATAAACACAATCAGAAATGATAAGGGGGATATCATCACTGACCCCACAGAAATAAAAAACAACCATCAGAGAACCCAACAAATACCTCTATGCACATAAACTAGAAAGTCTAGAAGAAATGAATAAATTCCTTGACACATACACCCTCCCAAGATGGAATCAGGAAAAAACTGAATCCCTGAATAAACCAATGACAAGTTCTGAAATTGAGGAAGTAATAAATAGCCTACCAAACAATAAAAGCCCAGAACCAGAGAGACTCACAGCTGAATTCTACCAGAGGCACAAAGAAGACCTCCTACCATTTCTACTGAAATTATTCAAAAAAATTGAAAAGAAGGGACTCCTCTCTAACACATCTTATGAGGTCAGCATCACCTTAATGCCAAAACCTGGCAGAGACACAACAAAAAATAAGAAAACTTCAGACCAGTATCTCTGATGAACATTGATGCAAAAATCCTCAATAAAATACTGGCAAACTGAATCCAGCAGCACATCAAAATGCTTATCCACCACAGTGAATTTGGCTTCATCCCTGGGATGCAAGGTTGGTTCAACATACACAAATCAATAACTGTGATTCACCGCATAAACAGAAATAAAGACATAAACCATAAACCACATGATTATCTCAATAGATGCAGAAAAGTCCTTCAATAAAATTCAACATCCCTTCATGTTAAAAACTCTTAATAAACTAGGTATTGAGGAACATACCACAAAATAATAGGAGCCACATATGACAAACCCACAGCATATATCATACTAATTGGACAAAAGCTGGAAGCACTCCCCTTGAAAACCAGGACAAGACAAGGATGCCCTCTCTCACCACTCCTATTTAATGTAGTATTGGAAGTTCTGTCCAGGGCAATCAAGCAAGAGAAAGAAACAAACTGTATCTGAATAGGAAGATAAAAAGTCAAATTGTCTTTGTTTGCAGATGACATGTTCTCATATCTAGAAAACCCCATTGTCTCAGCCCAAAAGCTTCTTAAACTGAGAAACAAATACAGCAAAGTCTCAGTAGACAAAATCAATGTTCAAATAATGCTAGCATTCCTACACACCAAAAATAGGCAAGCACAAAGCCAAATAATGAATGAACTCCAATTCACAATTGCTACAAAGACAATAAAATACCAGCCTGGCATGGTGGCTCATGCCTGTAATCCCAGCACTTTGGGAGGCCAAGGTGGGCAGATCACCTGAGGTCAGGAGTTTGAGACCAGCCTAATCAACATGGCGAAACCCCGTCTCCCCATCTCTACTAAAAATACAAAATTAGCCAGCTTGCTGGTGCATGACTGTAATCCCAGCTGCTTGGGAGGCTGAGGCAGGAGAATCATTTGAACCCAGGAGGCAGAGGTTGCAGTGAGCTGAGATTGAGCCACTGCACTCCAGCCTGGGCAACAAGAATAAACTCTCTCTCTCAAAAAAAAAAAAAAAAAAAAAGAAAGAAAAAAAGAAAGAAAGAAAAAAAAAAGAATAAAATACCTAAGAATTAAGAATACAGCTAACAAGTGAAGTGAAGGGCCTCTTCAAGGAGAACAAACCACTTCTCAAATAAATCAGAGAACACAAACAAATGGAAAAGCATTCCATGTTCATGGATAGAATCAATATCGTGAAAATGGCCATACTGCACAAAGTAATTTATAGGCTCAATGCTATTCCCATTAAACTACCATGACATTCTTCACAGAATTAGAAAAAAAAACTATTTCCTAATTTATATGTAACCATAAAAGAGCCCATATAGCCAAGAAAGTTCTAAGCAAAAAGAACAAAGTTGGAGGCATCATGCTACCCATCTTCAAATAATACTACAAGGCTCCAGTAACGAATTAGCATGACACTGCTACAAAAACAGACACGTAGACAAATGGAACAGAAGAGAGAACTCAGAAATAAGATTGCACACCTACAACCATCCGATCTTTGATAAACCCCACAAAAACAAGCAATGAAAAATGGACTTTCTATTTAATAAATGGTGCCAGGAGAACTGGTTAGCTATATGCAGAAAGTTGAAACTGAACCCCTACCTTACACCTTACACAAAAATTAACTCAAGATGGATTAAAGATTTAAATGTAAAACTCAAATCTATAAATACCATTCAGGACATAGGCAAGGGCAAAAATTTCATAATGAAAACACCAAAAGCAATAGCAACAAAAGCCAAAATTGACAAGTGGGATCTAATTAAACTAAAGAGCTTCTGCACAGCAAAAGAAACTATCATTGGAGTGAACAGATAACCTACAGAATGGGAGAAAAATTTTGCAATCTATCCATCTGACAAAGATCTAATATCCAGGCTCTACAAGGAACTTAAACAAACTTACAAGAAAAATCAACCCCATTAAAAAGTGGGCAAAGGACATGAACAGACACTTCTCAAAATAAGACATTCATGCAATTAAGAAACATGAAAAAATGCTCAACATCACTGATCATTAGAGAAATGAAAATCAAAACCACAATGAGATACCATCTCATGCCAGTCAGAATGGTGATTATTAAGAGTCAAGAAACAACAGATGTTGGTGAGGCTGCAGAGAAAAAACAGATGCTTTTATACTGTTGGTGCAAGCGTAAATTAGTTCAACCATTGTGGAAGACAGCATGGTGATTCCTCAAAGACCTAAAGGCAGAAATACCATTTGACTGAGAAATCCCATTGCTGGGTATATACCCAAAGGAATATAAATCATTCTATTATAAAGATACATGCACGCATATGTTCATGGCAGCACCATTCATAATAGCAAAGACATGGAATCAACCTAAATGCCTATTAATGATAGACCGGATTTAAAAAATGTGGTACACAAACACCATGGAATACTATGCAGCTGTAAAAAAGAATGAGATCATGTCCTTTTTAGGGACATGGATAAAGCTGAAAACTGTTATCCTCAGTAAACTAACACAGGAGCAGAAAACCAATTATCATAAGTCCTTCCTTATAAGTGTGAGCTGAAAGATAAGAACACATAAACATTGGGGGAACAACACAAACTGGGACCTGTCAGGGGTATGAAAGGAAGGAGAGCATCGGGGAAAATAGCTAATGGATGTTGAGCTTAATACCTAGGTGATGGGATGATCTATGCAACAAATCACTGTGGCGCACGTTTACCTATGTAACAAACCTACACATCCTGCACATGTACCACTGAACTTAAAAGTTGAAGAAAAAAATATTTTTAAAATTGTGTATATTTAAAGTGTACAATGTGATGTTTTGATATGTGCATGTATTGTTAAATTATTATCACAATTAAGCTACCATATAGTTACCATTTTTCATGTGTGTAATGAGAACAGTTAAGGCCTACTCTCAGCAAATTTCAAGTAAACAATATAATATTACTATCATTACTATGTTGTACATGAAATCTTCAAAACTTACTTATTATACATATTTGAAACTTCGTACAATTTGCCAAGAAAGCTTACAAATATGTATTTTTGTGTGTTTTATAATTACATAATTACCTTTATTTTTGCTTTTTTTCCATTTCAATAGGTTTTTGGGGAACCGGTGGCATTTGGTAACATGAATATGTTCTTTAGTAGTGATTTCTGAGATTTCTGTGCACCCATCACCCAGTGTACACTGTACCCAGTGTGTTGTCTTTTATCCCTCACCCTCTCCCACACTTTCCCCAAGTCCCCAAAGTCCATTGTATCATTCTTATGCCTTTGCATCCTCATAGCTTAGTTCCCACTTACGAGTGAGAACATACCATGTTTTGTTTTCCATTCCTGAGTTATTTCACTAAGAATAATTGTCAAAAGTTCCATCCAGGTTGCTACAACTGACATCATTTTGTTCCTTTTTATGGCTGAGTAGTTTGCTGAATCAAATGTTAATTCTGCTCTCTGTTTCTTTGTGTAGGTCACTTTCCTGCATTCAGAAGAAATTCTTTTGGTATTTATTGTATAACACATTTGCTAGTAACAATTTCTGTTAGTGTTTATTTTTCTAGAAAAGTCTTTATTTCCCCTTCATTTTTCATAGATAGCTTTGTTGGATGTAGGAGTCTTAGTTGACAGGAATTTTATGTTTGTTTGTTTTTTGTTTCTCTTAGCTTTTAAAATATTTTATCGTACTACCTTCTGACATCTTTTTAAAAAAATTTTTTCTGCCAAGAATTCAGCTTTAAACCTTATTGGGTTTTCCTTGTAAGTGATTCATTGTTTTTCTCTTGTTGCTTCCAAGATTTTTTTTTTTTTTTTTGCTGTTAACTTTCAATATTTTTACTATAATGTGTCTGTTCGTAGATCTCTTTGCATTTATTCCACTAAGAGTTTTTTCAGCCCTCCCTTTTTTTGAGACAGTGTTTCACTTTCACCCAGGCTGGAGTGCAGTGGTACATTCACAGCATACTGCATCCTTGACTTCCCAGGCTCAAGCAGTCCTCCCACATCAGCCTCCTCAGTAGCTGGAACTAAAGGTGCATGCTACCATGCCCAGCTAATTTCTTATTTTTTGTAGAGATGAGGCCTCACTCACTTGCCAAGGCTGCTCTCACACTCCTGTGCTTGAGCAGTCTTCCCGCTTCAGCTTCCCAAAGTGCTGGGATTACAGATATGAACCACCACATCCTTATTTGTTTGAATATTTTTTCTTCTCCTTTGTCTTCTCTCCTGGTAACTCTCATTACATGTGTGTTGATGCTCTCAATGGTGTTCCACATTTCTTTGAGGCTTTGTCTATTTTCTTTTATTCTTTTAATTTCTTTAATATGCATAATGTCTATTGAAATATCTTCAATGTTGGTAATTTTTTCTGCCAACAGAAGAAAAATTTCTTTTTCTTCTATCAATTCTACTACCAAGTCCCTCTTATGAATTCTTAGTTGTTTTACTTTTCAGCTACATTCAGCTACATGGTTTTTATTTAATTTTTTTTTGTTGGGGGGAGACAGGGTCTTACTCTGTCACCCAGCCTGGAGTGCAGTGGCACGATTTCAGCTCACCACAACCTCCACCTCCCAGGTTCAAGCAATTCTCCTGCCTCAGCCTCCAGAGTAGTTGAGATTACAGGCACATGTCACTACTGCCTGGCTAATGTTTGTATTTTTAGTAGAGATGGGGTTTCACCATGTTGAGCAGGCTGGTCTCAAACTCCTGACCTCAAATGATCCGCCTACCTCGGCCTCCCCAAGTGCTGGGATTGCAGGCATGAGCCACCGTGCTAGGCCTTAAATTTTTAAAACACAATTTCTATCTCTTTATTGATATTCTCTACTTGATACAACATTGTCATCACACTTTCTTCTAATTTTAATTATAGTTTTCTTTAATTCCATGAACATATTCATAATAGCTACTTTGAAGTCTTTTCTGTTAAACCTGACATCTGGTTTCTCTCTTACAGGCAGTTGCTGTTACTTCTTGTTTTCATTGTATGGGTCATGATTTCCTGCTTTTTGTTTGTTTTTGGAGTCTAGTAGTCTTTTTTACTGGAAACCAGCCAATTTAGATAATATATTGCAGCAACTCTATGTTTAGTCTCCCAGTGCTGGGGATTGTTGTTTTTATTTTCTTGTTCATTCACTTAATACCTGGCTAGATTATTTTAGTTTATCTCTCCTCCTCCAACAGTGTTAAGCCTCTGATGTTGATCTACAGATTGGTACAGTTTTAGGTATGTCCACGATCACTCTGGGACGACTCTCGTACTAGTAGGACCCTCTTTCACTCCTTCTCTGACAACATCCAGCTGTTAAGCTCCACTAATTACTACCAGATTGCTATGTTGTTTTTAACAATGTCTGGGACATAAATTCCTCTAGAAATTAACCCAATCACATTATGTCTCCTATTACAGGGTAGATTCTGGGGTCAGTGTCCAATGTTTGTTCTGATTCCAGGAAGTTTTTTTCCCAGTTGTCTTATTCCCCAGATATTTCCTGCAAACTAATTGACTTACAGTCTAAGTTGTATCATCCACAAATTTCCTCCCAACTGTCCTTTGCCACAACCTCCACTGATCCACACCTCCACTTAGTACCCATAGACTTAAACTTTTCTAAGCTCTGTTGCAAATGGAGTCAGTTCAATTGGGAAAAGACTGGGAGCTGTTTTATGGCCTGCTTCTTCTCTGTGGCAAAATTTCTGGAGCTGGATGTGGGAAGAATGGCAAGCTTATGTTGAGTGCTACCACCTCTCCTGGAGCGAAGCCCTTAGTGGGGAAGGGGGAGTGCATTAGCCTGAGGTCCTCCCCTGTGGCCATTCCTGACAGACACCTCATGAGCCAGACAAAGGCTATTAGACCCCCAGTGTTCTCAGTGGGTCATGTCCAAGGTAGAGCCACTGTTCCAAGAGTGGGAATTAGGCAGAAGGAAGCTCTCATCTCTTAATTATGCTTGTCAAGCACACAGCCTCAGCAAGAGACCACTGGGTACATCATAAGAATGCGAAATTCTTGCTTATCTCAGAAAGAGATATTTCTGGCTGGGAGCTGGGGGTACAGTTTTGATAATTCTTTCTTGCAGGAATATGGAATAGAACCTCCACCTCCTTGAGTTGGGTTAGGAGAGAGTAGTCTCAGTGCAAATACCAGTCCCTTGCCTTTCTCACTGAATTTTCATAGATTTTTAAAAATAGATATTTCTCTGTTTGTTGTTTGTCCTTGGGACAATTTGCAGAGACTGAATTTTTTTTTTTCAGTAAATTTTACCAGTTATAGTGGGAAGCTGGTTGGCAGAACTCTTCATATAGTTATGCCTGAAGTCAATCTCAGATAATGATCAATTTCTAAAAATATTCAACGTAATAATTTATATTTTCTTTTAGTATCACTCTAATAGAAATGAAATAAAAATACCAGTGTTAAGACTAATTTTATAACATTTTCAAATTGTTCTTCAACAGTAAAATTACCAGACATAGCCTATCATTCATTTGCAAGCTTTTTCTATTCTTAAATTATCACACTAGAGATGTAAAGAAAAAAACCCAACCTCTTTTTTTTATTATTATTATACTTTAAGTTCTAGGGTACATGTGCACAGTGTGCAGGTTTGTTACATATGTATACTTGTGCCATGTTGGTGTGCTGCACCCATTAACTCATCATTTACATTAGGTATATCTCCTAATGCTATCCCTCCCCCAGCCCCCCCACCCCATAACAGGCCCCCATGTGATGTTCCCCACCCTGTGTCCAAGTGTTCTCATTGTTCAATTCCCACCTATGAGCGAGAACATGCAGTGTTTGGTTTTCGGTCCTTGTGATAGTTTGCGCAGAATAACGGTTTCCAGCTTCATCCATGTCCCTGCAAAGGACAAGAACTCATCCTTTTTTATGGCTGCATAGTATTCCATGGTGTACATGTGCCACATTTTCTTAATCCAGTCTATCATTGATGGACATTTGGGTTGGTTCCAAGTCTTTGCTGTTGTGAATAGTGCCACAAGAAACATACATGTGCATGTCTCTTTATAGCAGCATGATTTATAATCCTTTGGGTATATATCCAGTAATGGGATGGCTGGGTCAAATGGTATTTCTAGTTCTAGATCTTTGAGGAATCGCCACACTGTCTTCCACAATGAAAAAAACCATTCTTTAAAAAATTAAAGTAATTATTTTATCTGTGAGGTTATGCCTTTAACTTGACATGCAGTTAAATTTGTCTCATTTTGTGACTTTTTAGTCTTTAGAGTTGGCAATTTTGTCATTCTTTAGAGTTAAGTTTATGCTTTTTAACTATTTAAAAGACATACCAATATTAGAAAATTGAAATAATGTGAATATGCACACGCACATTCTTTTTATTTGTGTCCTTTTTCCTAATCCCTCTTTACTGATAGAATAACATTTTTTTTTTTTTTTGGAGATGGAGTCTCACTCTATTGCCCAGCCTGAACTAAAGTGTAGTGGTGCAATCTCGGCTCACTGCAACCTACGCCTCCTGGGTTCAAATGATTCTCCTTTCTCAGCCTCCTGAGTAGCTGGGATCACAGAAACCTGCCACCACGCCTGGGTAATTTTTGTGTTTTTAGTAGAGACGGGGTTTCGCTGGCCAGGCTGGTCTCAAACACCTGACCTCAAGTGATCGCCCACCTCAGCCTCCCAAAATGCTGGGATTACAGACATGAGCCACCGCACCCGGCCAACATATCTTTTAGTTTTAAATTTAAATATGTGCATACACGTTTCTTTCCTCCCTTGTATGACATAAGGGAGCGTAACATAAACTCTTGTGAATACAATTTTTTAAACTTAACAATATATGGAGATCACTTATTATCATAATATGGCAATAAAACCTTTCTCATAACTCTGTATCACTTTGTTACATGTGCTATGACATCATCAACCAGTACTCTGGATATTTCTGTTGCAATAGTATAATACTATAAACAATATTGCAGTGAATAGTTTCACATATCTCATTTCCTTCCTTCCTCTCTCCCTGCCTGCCTTTATCTCTTTCTTCCTCTCTCCCGT
This sequence comes from Homo sapiens, assembly GCF_000001405.40. Classification (NCBI taxonomy): domain Eukaryota; kingdom Metazoa; phylum Chordata; class Mammalia; order Primates; family Hominidae; genus Homo; species Homo sapiens. The sequence continues at coordinate 97,743,048 of NC_000011.10, forward strand.
TTTTTCTTGCTTCTTTTTCCTTCTTTCTGTCTTTATTTTTCCCCCTTTCTTTTTTTTTCTTTTTTCTGGTAGCTCTAGTAACATCAAAAGCTAGAAGTCATTCCTAGTTAGGTTATTTCTTAATATAAAACAGTGTTAGCCTTCTGAAAATTCCTACTGTAGAAAATAGAAAAGTTCCTCTTCAAAGTTTGTTTTAGTTTAAAAATAATAGACACTAGCAATTATAGCTTCTTACTCTAAAGCCTCCTATCGACTGTTAGTTCTTACACTTTAGCCCAATTAGTTGCTTTGGCTTACTCAGGCATGTCTAGACAGGCCCAGGCAACTCTTAGCTCATACCTTATGCCCCTTCCTTATTTGGAAATGTTCTTGCTTCCTTAAACCTTTCATAAGCAACTTCCTCTTCTTCTTTGTTTTCCCTTGCACTTACCTATTTAGGAAAGTTTTAGGTTGTTAGCAAATCCGGTATCAGTTTAGACTGTGAGGTCTGGCTCCAGCCAATGGATGCACAACACATCAGTAAGGATGACCCAAATGCATAAGGGATAAATATGTATGCTTTACCTTTGTTAAGATGTGCTCTTGCCATTGTTCCATCTGCGATGAACACCCTTTCTGAAAAAAGTAAAGATTGCCTTGCTGGGAGAATTAAATTCATGTTTGAGTGCTATTTCTTTGTGGTACTGGGGAACAAGCATTTCTAAAACCTACTTTAATGTAGCCTTGGTTTTTTTTGTTGTTGTTTTGTTTGTTTTTTGAGTTTCCTCTGTTGCCCAGGCTATGGCGTGATAATTTTTGCAAATTTTTTTTGGTAGAGACAGGGTTTTGCTGTGTTGCCAGTCTGGTCTTGAACTCCTATTCCTGGGCTCAAGAGATCCACCCACCTTGGCCATCCAAAGTGCTAGGACTTCAGGCATGAGCCACTGTGCCCATCTTTGGTCTTGAGTTTTAATAGACTGTTAAAGTTTAATAATTAATCATTCTAACTTAAAGACTTCATACTACCAGTACTAGCAAGAGGCAGCCTGTATAAGTGGTAATTACTAGGGGACAAGGGAGAGAAAGTATTGCTAGGATATGAAATGAAAAGACAGAATTAGAAGAAAAACCTTTGAGCAACCAAGAAGCTATATAGGGAAAGGATATTTAGAAGGAAAAAGGAGGACCACAAGAATAAAGGCCCTAATTATTTAACCCATAGTGTGCAAAATATTCTGATCAGTGGACTGAACAATCTAAGATCCAGCTACCTCATTCTCATTTTCTTTTTTATTTTGTGATGTTTAAAAACTTATGTGTATGTTTTTACTTTCTTGAATTAATTTACACTGGGCCAGCTACTCTAGAACTCTAGGCCACTCAAATTTTTTATTTGAGATTTCAGAGATTATTTGTAATAGTCATAATATTGTGTCCGGAATTGGGTTCTTGGTCTCACTGACTTCAAGAATGAAGCCACAGGCCCTTGCCGTGAGTGTTACAGTTCTTAAAGGCGGTGTGTCTGGAGTTTGTTCCTTCTGATGTTCAGATGTGTTTGGAGTTTCTTCCTTCTGGTGGGTTCGTGGTCTTCCTGGCTCAGGAGTGAAGCTGCAGACCTGAAATGTGAGTATTACAGCTCTAAAGGCGGCTGTCTGGAGTTGTTTGTTCCTCCCAGTGGGTTCGTGGTCTCGCTGGCTTCAGGAGTGAAGCTGAAGACCTTAGCGGTGTTACTGTTCATAAAAGCAGTGTGGACACAAAGAGTGACCAGTAGCAAGATTTAGAGTGAAAGAACAAAGCTTCCACAACGTGGAAGGGGACCCCAGCAGGTTGCTACTGCTGGCTCAGGCAGCCTGCTTTTATTCTCTTATCTGGCCCCACCCACATCCTGCTGATTGGTCCATTTTACTGAGAGCTGATTGGTCTGTTTTACAGAGAGAGCTGATTGGTCTGTTTTGACAGAGTGCTGATTGGTTCATTTACAATCCCTGAGCTAGACATAAAAGTTCTCCACGTCCCCACTAGATTAGCTAGATACAGAGTGTCGACTGGTGTATTTACAAACCATGAGCTAGACACAGAGTGCTGATTGGTGCATTTACAAACCTTGAGCTAGATACAGAGTGCCGACTGGTGCATTCACAATCCCTTAGCTAGACATAAAGATTCTCCAAGTCCCCACCAGATTAGCTACATACAGAGTGCTGATTGGTGCATCCACAAACCCCAAGCTAGACCCAGGGTGCTGATTGGTGTGTTTACAAACCTTGAGCTAGATACAGAGTGCTGATTGGTGTATTCACAATCCCTTAGCTAGACATAAAGATTCTCCAAGTCCCCACCAGATTAGGTAGATACAGAGTGTCAATTGGTGCATTCCACAAACCCTGAGCTAGACACAGGGTGCTGATTGGTGTGTTCACAAACCTTGAGCTAGACACAGAGTGCTGATTGGTGCACTCACAATCCCTTAGCTAGACACAAAGGTTCTCTAAGTCCCCACTAGACTCAGGAGCCCAGCTGGCCTCACCCAGTGGATCTCCCACCAGGGCCACAGGTGGAGCTGCCCGCCAGTGCAGTGCCATGCACCGGCACTCCTCAGCCCTTGGGCGGTCCATGGGACTAGGCGCAGCGGAGCAGGGGGCAGCGCTCGTCGGGGAGGCTCAGGCTGCACCAGAGCCCACCGCGGAGGCAGGGGGAGACTCAGGCATGGAGGGCTGCAGGTCCGGAGCCCTGCCCCGTGGGGAGGCAGCTAAGGCCCGGCGAGAAATCGAGCGCAGCGCTGGTGGGCCAGCACTGCTGGGGGACCCGGCGCACCCTCCGCAGATGCTGGCCTGGGTGCTAAGCCCCTCACTGCCCGGGGCCGGCAGGGCCAGCTGGCGCTCTGAGTGCGGGGCCGCCAAGCTCACGCCCACCTGGAACTCTACCTGGCCCGCAAACGCGGCAGACAGCCCCAGTTCCACCGTTGCCTCTCCCTCCACACCTCCCTGCAAGCCGAGAGAGCCATCTCCGGCCTCAGCCAGCCCAGAGAAGGGCTCCCACGGTGCAGCAGTGGGCCGAAGGGCTCCTCCAGCGTGGCCAGAATGGGTACTGAGGCCGAGGAGGCACCGAGAGCGAGCCAGGGCTGAGAGGGCTGCCAGCACGCTGTCACCTCTCAATATGAGGTAGATAGGTTTTATAAATATGACATTTGGTTCTTGCTTTGAGATGTTGAAAGAGATACTGTAAATGGGACGACTGATTGCCAGCATCAATTTAAAGGAGAGGGGCTACCTGAGAGATAATCAGAGATTACTGACTTTTTCTTCATTATTCATTATTTCATTTTGTTCACAAATTAATGGCTCTTACTATGTGGCGGGGTAGCCCAATTAAAAAAAAATCTGTTTGCATTGATTCTACCTTTCTGTTTCTTATAATTTCCTAGATGCACTTTGTATTCATTTTCTTTACAGACTTCTCTTTTAAAAAAAAACTCTACATCAAAACAACATAGCATACATAGGTAGAAAATTTAGTTGGAAGGTGGGTTACTGGATGTTGATTTTTATCCCTTGGTGTATCAATTCTGTGGAATATTCCTAGAGGTGCATCGTTGTTTTCTTCAAAATATTTTCCTGGCTGTTACCTTTTCTCAGCAGCCTCACTCCTGCTATGTGACTGTTTGAACATATGAGTCTCAGTGCTCTTTTCTTATGCCAAATAGAGTAAAAAGTGACTGAAAAATCATTCTAAAGAGACAAGCACACAATGTCCTAGGTTAAACGAGTTTAGTGATTTGTAATGCCATTTCTATTATATTGAAATAGGTTTGGCACGGGGGACATTCTTTGCCTAGAAAAGACAGAGAATGGGGATTTCTGTGCATTTTTATCTCAGCAGAGGGATCCCACTGAATGCAGAGCAAAATCAGAGAAAACTGCTAACTGGAGATTAAGCTCTGACAATTAAGCTGCTTGCCAATAAATTTCAAACCCATCTATGCAAGTCATTCAATAACAGCAGACTTGCAAAGCAATTAAAGTCAGCCCTTCCTGTTTAATTTCTGCAAAACTGGGCTGGACTGCCTGAGCTTTCATTTGCTGTGTAAAATGGTAAATGAAATGAGCCAGGGACATACAAAATCCTGGTGAACACCTGTGCCTTTTCACAGATTCTTTTGACAAAAACCTTCCCAGCAGAAAAATTAAAACAAGAAAACCCACCTTAAGTATAGCTTCTGTTTTAAACAAAATCAAATATTTGTTTTATCATCTACAGCCACTTTCTTTTGGGCAATTGTACTTCTGTTTTGGGGTTTTTTTTTTTGTTTGCTTGTTTTTTTTTTTTAACTAATTTCAAAGTAACGTTGCAGACATTTTAATATATGGAAGATAAATAAATAAACTATTTTGACAGACAGAATCTAAGTTTACCTGCATAAACCTCTATCTTCTCCTCTCTCTACCCCAATGTATCTATGCCTATTTCTAGTACTTCTTGCAATTATTAACTTTCTGGAGAAACTGGGGTTGAAGTGAGTGTAGAATAGGGAAAATTGGTTTTAAGGCTTTAATTCAGAACCTGATGATATACTGACCAATTTAGTGGATAAATTATTCCACAAACAAACATTCTGCTGTATATTTTTAGTGATTTACTTTTTTGTTATTTATGTGCTAATAATGTTTATATCCTTGTACCCAGGTTGTTTTAAAGCACAAACTTTCTCATTAAATATACTTCAGTTTCAGTGTCAGCTCTGCCACTAACTGGGTGACCTTGTGAATTTGTGCACAAAACTTAAGTCTTTGGGTGTCATTGTCTGTAGCTTCAAATTGGTGATAACATTACTATCATACATAAATGAGATAATGTTTAGAAAGCCCTTAATTTAATATCTCTTTTTGAGCTGGTACTAAATTTATATCAAATATGCATCTACATATTTGAATAAAAAAAGTCATGCTGCACATACTGTTTTATGACTTACTCTTCTTATTTAAGAGTATATTGCAGACTTTTGTAATGATCTGAAAATACGGTGCATAACATAGTAAATTGTAATATTCATCACAACTTTAACTCTTGGCTTAGTATTTCAATGTATGAATGATTTTTCAATTATCTGTATTAAATGTATGAAATTATTTCAATTTCATACATTTCAATTGTATGATTTTCAATAATACAAATGTTTCAATGAGTGAACTTTAACCTAAATTTTTGTACTTTTTAAATTTTGCATGTATACGATGACAAAAGAATCATGTCACATGACCTGTAAACATATAAACTTTCTATTAATATGGAAGATGTAAAGAACAGATATGATAGTATAACATTTTTCCAAAATTACACCCTTTGGCTACTCAAATAGTGATGTGTGCCATTCTATGAACACATACAGCCTGCTCAGTAATTTAGGAGAAAAGAAACACCAAAAGAGGTTCATCCAGTTTCTGCCTCTTGCTCAAAGTTCAGAGTTCTGGTATCACATTTTTCTCTACTAGGTGTGAAAGTAGCTTCTCATGATGCAGAGATTCCTAAACTAAAGGACAAGAAATCTGCCTTCCACCACACTCATCATAACCAGTATGTGATGGGTAAAAGTAGAACATGATAACTACAATGAAGACTTTTTCCTGGAAGAAAATCAACACCTGTCAATCACTGGTCTCCAAATATTTTCACATCCTGTTGGACAGAAATAGAAATATCTGTTTTGTAGTAGTGCAGTTTATTTTGTTAGTTCATCCAGAAGCTTCTGTGGGAAAAACAATTCATCCTAACTCTGTGGGAAAAACAGTCTTGTTCATTGTCTGCCGTTGATCCTGATCCTCTTTTCTTAGGGGTTAGGGAGGGGGTATTCCGGGTCTTTTTATCATCCATAGCTAAAACTGAAGTTATCATTGAAAACACACACTTCTGGAATATTAGAAGCTTTTACAGTCTCCTTACTACTGGTGTAAATTTGAGACTCCAAGAGTTGTATTAAGGATTTGAATGCAGGCTTTTTTCAACCAGGCCTATGGTTTCTTTGGCAATATAATCCTCCCCAAATCTTAAAAGGCAGAGCTGCAAGTAACCACAATGAAAGATCTTGCTTAGATCCTAATTTTAAACTTTATATTTGTTTTATTTTTCCTCTTGGCATCAGTGATAAGGTAATAGCCTTAGCCTGATATTTGCTGCTGGACTCATCTTCCTCTAATTGACAGAGAGATATTAGTGATAATTTATTGAAAAAAATGGGGGAAATAGCCTCAACTTCTTCATTGTTATTGCTTTTATATGTGCTTCATTTTGGAATCCAAGCGATGAGCTTTTTCAGTCCTCTAAGATTCCAATTTGTTTAGACTCTCTCAGCTTAGACTGCAGGCAGCAGAGAAGAAAAACTCTTCCTTGGCAAAGCTATAATCCCTTCCACCTGTGTTTTCAGATGAACTGGTAATAACCTGAGTTTTTCTCTCTTTTTGGGACTTTGCTAAAAGCTATAAAAAAAAATACACCATTTCCAGGTGCTCAATTCTGCTTCAGTTAGAATAATATTTAATCCAAAGGGGAAAACGTGTTTGAAATAAGATGCAATACGTTTTCTCTCTCTTTCATGAACAGATTCTAGAGCTAAGTGATCAGGGCAAGGATGGAGACTCAAATCCAGGGACCCAATCTTCATGCAGCTTTTTAGGAATAAGTTAATCCTGGTCTTCATCATCTATTAAGGATCTCTTATCATCATATTCATGATCCAAACAGCAAAATGCATGAAACAGGGTTAAAAAGTGAGCAAAGAACATGCATCCCATCTCTCTTAAGTACATTTCCGAAAATCTGATATTTCATGTTTCTGAGGATATTCTATCAGCTGGAACATAGACATGTGGCCTCACGTAAATGTAGTGGAGATTGGTAAATTAATATTTGCTGTCACTGACCACATCTAAGCTAAGCCTCATCATTGTGCCAAGAAAACCCCATGAACATTATAGAAAAAAATCCTATTCTCTGCTATATTACATAAACCACCATTGCTATCCATCAGTTTTCTTCCGATTATCAACCATCCTCCTTTTTTAGCCAGTATATTCTGAATTGTAAGATTTAATTATTCATTTAATTACAAACAAAATTGCGCATCATTAGGCATATATAAAGAAGTAAAAGAAATACTTGCATTTATAAGCCAACAGTCTACCCTGATAAGTGTCAATCTCTCTACCCTCTGAAAACAAAAACAAACACAAAACAAAAGCCTTTTGTTTTCCTTCTCAGTAAAATAACACAATTTCTTTATTTGGTCTGTATTTGGGCAAGAAGACTACTGGAAGCAACTTAAGCCATTTCAGCATCTATGTGATTGATCAATTCCCATTTTATATTTTTCCTGACTCTGCCTTTAAACCCTGATGCATTTTATTATCTTATACATCACATAGTACTCTCCAGGATCTCCCGTTCTGACTGATATTGCTCCACAGGATAGGTTTCCTGCTGTTATCTTTTTATAGGAACACCTATTACTGTGCAAGAAAGGGCAGAATGAACAAATCTTACTTTCTTTACCTTCACTTCTGAACAAGTTAGAAAATCTCGTTGAACAATCTCTAATATAAAGAATGCTTGACATTTTCTTCAATTTTAAATTGGCCGTCATTTATAATATTTCTATCATAAGTTTAGGTCTGTCATGAGAAGTTTATCAGAAATAAAGGATTGTTTAGTGCTTCCAAAAGTTATGTAGTATAATAGTGTAAAATTAAGCTAAGTGACTTTTCACCATAAAAGTCAAGTAAACTCACTAACACCAAGCATAAACAGAAAAACTCACAGACCTGTATTATAAGGCATTCCATCTGAGAAACATTTTAAAAACCATGAAAATTGTGTCCAGATTCAGATAAGTGTTTGGGATATATTTAACCAAACCTTAATTCAAATAACTGGAATTCATTTTCAGCTCAAGTGTTTCTTAAACTATTAGGTATCAAGAAAAGTACTACAGGTAAATTTTTGGTTTGCTGCTATTCTGTGTCTCCTTTCATTCTGACAAGTTCTATATACTATGTGCTTTTATATAGAGTAAAAACAGAACACTAGTGACACTAATAATTACTGGAAGAATTTATATTTCTTCTTCAAAATTACCCTTATGTCTTTCCTGATGAGAAAAGAGACATATCTTTCTTGGAATATGGTTTCAATATTTCCCTCTTATTTCAGACTTTCATCTTTTATAATCTTAATCTTAATTTTAAATTGCCATTGACCATTGTTTTGTGAAGAGCTGGACTATTCACTTTGTGTATAAATAATGGACACTAACATAATAAAAATATACATTTAGTATTTTAATCTGTTATTCTCTGTAATAAATTATCTACATCATTTATATAATTAAAATAACTTTATGTTTAGGTGTCATAGTCATGGGATCCTTCAGGGGTCACTTTTCCAGCCAGAAACCTCTGTGGCTGGTCATGCCTTTGCCTAAGTGTTTGCTCAGCCTGCTAGGCTCATTCTGCCAACTCAGTCTGGCATGCTGCACTCGGCTCCTGCTACTGGTCTGAATCCAATGCTTGCCAAGAATAAGCCAGGTGCAGAGTGGCGAGTATTGTATCAGTGAGTGAGCATGGGATCCGGCCCCTGTGCACAGCCAGGCATGCCAGCTGCTGCAGCGGAACAGGCAGCTTCAGGTGCCAGCACAGGTGCGGGTTCCATGCCAGCCTGTGGCTGGATCAGATGTGCCACAAGTGACTTCTGCTGTGGGCACTCACATCTGAATGAGGGGAACATGGTGGCACCCAGAGGCTTGGAGGTTTGTGCCACAAATCACAGACCCCCAAAGAGAGTGCCACAGTCCTGGCTCAGGGATCCCCTAGGTTGAGGGGCTGCACCTCTTCTTTCCTTCTCATTGCCCACAGTGTGGCAAGTTGGTAGGGGAGGTGGGGGGTGTGTTTCCGCCTGTTTGTGTTACAACCCTTTCAGTCTTGCCAATTGGCAGGTCCCAAGTTTTTGTCCCACATCCAGGAAGAATGACATGCATGGATAACTGGAGGGTGTGAAAGGCAGAGAGGAGCTTCATTGAGTGACAGCATGGCTTTCAGGAGACCTGAAGTGGGTAACTCCTTTCTGCAGGCAGGTCATCCTGGCAAGTATCCAACTATCAGTGGAGAGGAGGCCCACAGTGGGTAGCTTCTTTCCACAGATAGGTCATCTTGACGTCTGTGTAGCTTTCAGCCAAGAGGAGACCTGCAGTAGGTAACTCCATTCCACAAGCAGGTCATCCTCATATCTGTCTGAGTCTGGCTGAGTCCAGGGTTTTTATGGGCTCAGAAGGTAGGAGGTACATGCTAATTGGTCATGGGTATGTTTGAAAAAAGCACCATAAGTTCTCACTCTTATGCTGCCGTGGACTCCACCAAGAACTGGCAGTCCAACCCCCAGACTTCAGGCCATCCTTGGCTTGAAGGCAGAGTATCACTGAGAATCTGCCCCTTTCTGCCTAGAAGCCTGTCTGCCTCTTGCTGCCATCAACATGCCATCCATGGCACCCAGGCTGTTCATGCCAAGGATGTGCCTGCAGGCCTGCACTAAGCTGCCTCAGCCTCCACCTCAGCCTCCCTCCCATGCTCGTCAGTGCCCAAAGTCCAAAGGAGTCTGAGGTAGCAAGGGGTGGTGTGTCAGTGCTGCCCTGAGTGCTTGCTCACCTGGTCAGGTTGAGACAGCACCTGGCCTTGGCCACAATTTTGCTCTGAAATCGAAGCAGGTGCCAGGAGCAGGGAGAGGCCAGGGATGGGAGCAGGCACTTCAAAGCCTATGTGGGGAAGGGGGATTCCTGGGCCCCTGAGAACACAGGGATGCCTGAGTTCAGAGCCACATCTAGGCAGCTACAGCTGTTGCCCTGCCAACTCAGTAGGGGACAGGGCTCCTGCCTATTCCCGGTCCCGCACTGGCTTTGTGGAGCACACAGCCATGGCCACACCTCTCCTGCTGCAGCCAGCATCTTCACAGCAGCTGCTCCAGATGGGCCACCACTGCAATCAGTATCTCCAATATACCCTGTAGTATTTCTTAATAATCAAGCCTGATCTTTGAATATCTTATGATAATTAAGTACCCTCTTATTTATATATTTTCAAAATACATATATAATAATCTCATGGACATTGCATTGGGTAGAATCATAGCTCTTTGCAAATCTTTCTTTGTATATTTCTAACACAGAATAACACATAGACAGAAAGATTCTTAAGGCTTCACTTTAAATGATTTAGTAAAGTAGGTTATACAGGAACTTTTTCTTAGGCCGTATTCACATTCATGAAATAGGCTGACCAATGGATATGAGACTATTCTAGCAGCAAGTCGATAAGGTAATGCTTTGAAATAAGTTGTTTTCAAGATAAAACTTAGAGAATTACTATACAGACTCTAAGGTACAAAAGGTAGTAGTATCACCAGGAGTCCTCGGGAATGGGGTTCATATGTCGTTTATCTTTAAATCCTGGCTTTACATCTTAGTGCCATGTCTAACACTTGGTATCGCCTCAATAACTGATGACTTAATGCAAATGAATGACTGTGTTTCTGTGTATGCGTGCGTATGTGTGTGTGTGTGTGTGGTGTTTGAGCATGTCAACCAAGGCATGTATGTAATTCATTATATGATGCATTAAACATATGTGGTCCTTATTCAACTGATAATCTTCTTACAATAGGAATAAGTAAATGTTTCTCATCCTGACTGGAGACACAGCTCTGGTCTTGGTCATACTTCTAACACTTGAATGAATATAATTTATTTTCAGCCTCATATTCATTCTTACACAGATAGCTATCTTTTCTATATTTTTTTCAGGAGAATTTCATTAAAAAGCTCTTTAGAAAATCCAAATGTTAATATGCACAGTCGTAACTGTTGGTCTTATTGCTACTGTCATATTTTTGCTATTATACTTTTTTCAGCTCTTTATAATCTGCCCATTTGTTTCTGCTAAATCATAAAATATATATGCCTTTTGTCTCAGACACATTGTACTTGGTACACTCTATTAATCTATATGGGGATTAGTTTCTTCGGTGTTACAATAAGTAATAAGCTTTGCTATCGTGCACTTTCTTATACTCTCTTTGCAATCATTTTTCAAAGTTTTTTTTTTCTCTTTGGCCTTGGCCATGACTGTCTAATGACAGCTCTAAAAACACCTGTGTTTTTTGTTTGTTTTTGTTTGTTTTTGATATGGAATCTCACTCTGTCACCCAGGCTGCAGTGCAATGGCATGATCTTGGCTTGCTGCCACCTCTGCCTCCTGGATTCAAGCAATACTCCCACCTCAGCCTCCCAAGTAGCTGGGACTACAGGTATGCACTACCATGCCAGGCTAATTTTTTTTTGTATTTTGGTAGAGATGGGGGTTTCACCATGTTGCTGAGGCTGGACTCAAACTCCTGGACTCAAGCAATCTGTGTACCGCCGCCTCCCAAAGTGCTGGGATTACAGGCGTGAGCTACTGCACCCAGCCATAAAAACACCTGATTTTTAAATAATTGTTAAGTTTAGCCAAGTGCCCACAGGACCAAAGACATCACTAGTGACTCTTACGATTTTACGTGCCACATTGTCTGTACTGAGCAACAGTGACATGGGTAAGTGACATATGCCTTCAAGACCAACGCTAACTTCACTCTACCATTATTACATCTTTTTACTTCACTTAAAAACTTGGGTCTAGATCATTTCTCTTTCTTCTCCCTTGTATTAGGGTTCTCTAGAGGGTCAGAACTAATAGGATATATGTGTATATGAAAGGGATTTTATTAGGGAAAATTGGCTCACAGATCACAAGGTGAAGTCCCATGATAGGCCATTGGCAAGCTGGGAAAGAAGTTAATAGTGGCTTAGTACAAGTCCAAAAGCCTCAAAAGTAAGGAAGCCAACAGTGCAGCCTTCAGTCTGTGGCCAAAGCCTTGACAGACCCCTGGCAAACGACTGGTTAAGTCCGAGAGTCCAGTGGCAAAGAACCTGGAGTCTGATGTCCAAGGACAGGAGGAACAGAAGGAAGCATCAGACATGGAATAAAGATGAAAGCCAGAAGACTCAGCAAGCCAGCTTATCCCACATTCTTCCCCCCTGCTTTGTACTAGTTGCACTGGCAGCCAATTGGATGCTGCTCACCCACAGAGAGGGTGCGTCTTGCTCTCTCAGTCCACTGACTCAGATGTCAGTCTCCTCTGGAAACACCCTCACAGACACACCCAGAAACAATACTTTACCAGCTATCTAGACATCCTTCAGTCCAATCAAGTTGACATCTAATATTAACCATCACATCCCTCAAGCATGGAAGATTTATTTAACAAGTCTTCTGAGAAAATAATATATTTTCAGTGAGGTTATTTCTGTTAGAAAAACTGTTCTGTTTGGAAACAATAGACAAGATTTCAGTCTTTTACTGTTTCTTTCTTAAATCTTCTTTGCCTACCTTATTAGGAGAAAGATATAAAGGTTCTCATTCATATTCAAAAATTAATATTTCAGCAGCAAAATCCCTTTCTTAATCATTTCCCAAATGTCAGCCAACTGAGTGGTAAAATAAAATATAGTTGTATGGATTAAGTTACAGGAAATAATAAATGTATATATATAAAATACATTTACAGAGATGAGCATGACGTCATGTTCCCTAAAATGGCAACTACTATTTACATGTAGATTACAGGAAACAAAAATCAAATACAAATATTTTCATGCGTAGGTTCACATGATTTTCTATAAATGCATTTTTGCACATTTCTGATGATTGTGGATAATATGAAAACATTTCAATTAATACCAACACGCATGTACTTTGTATTTATATATACCACTCCCAAGTTTAAGGAAAGGACATTGATGAGTTGTTATGGTGGCTTACAAGAATTTGTACTCATGTTCAAAAATTATGTCCTTACATTTATCAGGACTTCCACTGAAGTAAAAGCTAATTTATGATCCTAGCATTTCCATTTCACTTTAAACACCCCTGTGACTAGTTAGTTACATACAAGGCTTTAACTGTATTTTTCTCCTAGTTTTCTACTGTGTAAATGATTTTATAGTTTGACACTTTTAAATGCATGGCAACAGCACACCACAACGGTATAAATTACTGATACAGAAATCCTTAAATGTTTCGAAGAAATTGTTTTCTACTATGGAATAGCAAACTCATTTTACCTGTGACACTTCTCCTTTTCTTCCCTTATTATTCTATTCACATGGTTCTGAGGTATGATGTATAATACCATTAATTTTATCACTGATAAAACTTGGTTTAATCTTCTAATATTTTAAATTTGTCCAGGAAGTCCTATGTATACATGGCCCCTGTTTTCCATGAGGATTTTGATTAAGTTGACTTTGGAGTTATTTTGAATACTCCCTTCTGTTTACCACACATCTTACATTTGTTACCAAGCTCTATTTCACCTCCCTTAGAAATTCTCTTTGACTCTCTTTTTTCATGACTTTTGAGTCATCAAATGCACTGATTAATGACCTAGTCACTTTGTACCAACATATACAAAAAAATCAAACTTAGGCTTACTTCATTTTTTCCTCTATCATTAATCACATATTTTTATAATATGAATCTTTCCAAGCCTATTTTTAATAATAACCATTGCTTTTATAAATGAACCTAAAGTGGTTCCATATAGGTTACTCTACCACAAAGGTTTCTGTGTGAATTTCAAAGCCCTGAGTCATTTTGTTTCCATATTCCCTCTTTCCTCCTACTTTATAGGACCCACATCTATTCCAACAAAGCCTGTCATCTACATGAGCCTGTGGCAGGCATTGGCTAAGTACTCCCAATTCTGTTTCCTTTTCCTGGGTACACATGAAGTTATGTTCCAGGTTCCTTTGCAGTTACGCCCAGGTCATGTGACAGGCGTTAGCTAATTGGTGCAACTAAATATGATATTATGTTAATTCGAGTTTTGACCCCTATTATTTTCAGAGATATCATTGATGAATTCTCTTTCTTACTCATGTATCTGGAAGTTAAAACTTCTGAGATGGTGGTCCCTGACAGAGGAATCTAACTTTATCAGTAAACTAGTCAGAAGAAAGACATCCAAAAAATTTACCTGACATGTAAGGGATTATGACCAGAATTACAAAGTGATGAGAATTACATGTACCAACACGTGTTTGGTAAACACCATCTGAAAGAATGCATAGAACAATTATTGTGGCACAAACAGGACAATTTATTTTTCCCAGTAATCAAAGTGGAAATGTCTTGCAATACACAGGTCATCAGAGTATTCAGATGGTTATCTTCTCAGTAGTCAATCACAATTAGGATTAGACCAAATGTCGCCCTGGTCCCACCTAAAAACCTTTACCATTCATTTATCTTTGGGAGGTAAATAAGTACCTCCAAAAGATATAAATGTTTCAAAGTACCTTAACATACAAGGAAAAAAAGCTCCAAAATATTTAAAATAATATAAATATATCCAGCATCAAAAAGATACAATTTCTGGTGTTTGGCCTGCAAAATAAAAAATTACCACTCCTTCAAATAAGTAGGTAATACAACTTAAAAAGAGAGAAAGAAATCAAGTGAATCCAACCCGAAATAATACAGATGATACAATCAGTACAAAAGATATTAACATTTATTATAATTATGTTACAGAGCTTCAAGAAGATAGAGGGACACTAGAACATATTAAGTAGACATATGAAAGATATTTTTTGTATCTCGAATTCAGAGTTTGAGAAACTTTAAATAATATCTGATATAAAAATCAGGGGCTTGCATTTTTAAAAGTTAGATTAAATACAGAAAAACAAAGGATTAATGAACTTGAAAATACAGAAGCAGAAACTATTTTAAATGTAACACAGAAGAATAAAGAGACACAACAAAAACACAACAGTAATTAGCTCTGGGCCTAATACAAGTGTAACTGGAGTAACTGAAAGATGGTAAAGAGAAAGAAAAAGAAAGTGAAAAAATATTTAGGAAGTATTTCCTGAAAATATTTCAAATGTAATAAACTATAAACCTGCAAGTTCAAAAAGCTCAACAAGCCCCAAGCAAAAGTAACGTGAGAAAACCACAGTAGAATACATCATAATTAAATTGCTTAAAACCAATAATAAAGAGAAAATTAAGAGCAGCCAGAGGAAAAAAAAACAGCATGTTACCTACAAAGGAACAATAACAAGAATAGCAGCAGATGTCTTCTCAGAATCCATGCAGTTCAGGAAAGAGTGAAACCACATATTTAAAGTATTGGAAGAAGAAAAAATAATATGTAAGCCTAGAATTCTCTTTCCTGCAAAAATATATGTTTAAAAATGGAGGCAAAATAATTTTTCAGATACACAAAAGCAGAAATAATTTATCAGTGGTATCTGGTATATCTGCATTATAGTAAATGGTAAGCAATATCTTTTAAGCATAAGGAAAGTGATGGCAGATAGACAATTGGATATTCGCAAAGAGTAAAAAGCAGTCAAAATGGCAAATATGTGGGAAAATAACATAATTTAACTTTTTCATCTACCATTTTTCCATCTTTAAATTGTGAATAAATAATAATCAAAGTAGAAAAGACCTGTAATACACAGGTGATCAGAGTATACAGATGGCTTTAACCTCAGTAGTGAATAAAAATTAGAGTTAGACCAAATGTTGCTCTGGTCCTTCCTAAAATATTTTAAATAAATTTCTCAAAAAGATAAAAAAGCTTCAAAGTAACTCTGAAATGTCAATAACTGTGAACTTTGAATTGTGAGTAAATAATTCACAATTTAAAGCAAAAATCATAACACTATATTGAGGATCTATAACACTGCAAAAGTGAAATGTTTGACAATAGTACCAAACCTGAAGGAGGGGAAATGCAAGCATATGCTTGTAAATTTCTTAAACTATGTGTAAATTGATAGAGCATTAAGTGAAGGTGGACTGTGACCAGTTAAAAATGTACAATATAAAGCTTACAACCACAACTAAACTATTCTAAACCACTGGGATGTATCCTTTGTCCAATAGTTCATTGCATATATAATAATCCTGTTATAATATTGGAGGATGAAGCAAGAAAAAGTAGATTATTATTTTATTTCTTATGATTTTCCTACACTATGTGTTATGACACTCTCCTCATAAATTATTTCTCTATGAGAGAAATAAATTACATTCTGACAATATTTAGTTCAGATACAGTGTACATTTTATTTTAAAATTTTATTTTATTTTAAAATTTAACCATGACTTGAAGGTAGAGTCTTACTGCTTTAAATGCCTTTGCTAGCCAATTTTCTTCCTGTAATTAAATATGTGTCTCTTTCAGAAAAACATTAGGGTTACTGGTGCTTATAATAGTAATATTCTAGCATGTAGGAGAAAATAAGCCAATCAGTGCAAAGACCCCACTTGTGTTGTAATCACCGGGGAGTAGACTGAGCACCCAGGAGGTTCCATTTCAGATGAGCAAAAGGAGGGGGTAAGTGGTGGGATGAGAGCCCTGAAAATGGGCAGCCATTTGTTCTGGTGAACAGCTTGCTCTTTTCAGATAATCTTCTAGGACCCATTCAGGACTCTGATGATTTCCTCAAAAGGAATAACCCAAACAATAAAATTGGGCAACAATAAAATGGGGTCTATAAGGAAATATTAATCTCCTTATATGGATCATTAATATCACATATAATGTCAGTAGTACCTATTCAGAGAAAAAAATTCTTAAAGATAATAAGGCTTTAAAACGGGTGATAAAGAACTCAATGGTAAGGCTGTAGAAGAAGAGAGAGAGAATTTTTATCTTTTCTCTGGTATATGTTATACTTACATAAAAGGGTTTGTTTTATTTTAGGTGTCTTGTGTTCTTAAAACATTGCTTACATTTTAGAGTCATGAATAGTTAAAAAGAATTTAAATAGATGCTCTATAAATTCTTCAAGATTAGCTAAAACTATTGTACCACACAACACTTTTGAATTCACTGTTATTCTCTAACTTTTCTGAATTTGTTATTTTTCTTCTCTGCCTGTATCATATACTTGTTCTTCAGCAGAAGAAATCATGTGTTATATACTTACATTCAAATGCCTCTCTAGGTGTTTATAATTATATTTATATAAATGATAATGAAGAAAATACAACTCTTTGAAGTTAAAAAACATAGGAATGAAGGTGTATATGTCGCTTTGAAATATAGAATAAATATAAATTAAGCTTTAGAAAAGGAGTACAAAATTTACAACATTCCTAGAGAACAGAAGATCAACTGAATCTGATGAGGCATGAAGAAAATAAACAGCCAGTCTAGCTTCATTGTGACTACTTTAGAAAGGCTTCAATTTGGTGCTTAGAATTCAAAATCTGCATGAATAAGGACGGCATATGATTTTATGGTCTTGGGTTGGACAACCTAAAAGTGAAATATAACGTTGAGATGTGCTCAACGTCGAAATAAGAAAAAATGTATTATAATAATCTGAACAAATGTGTTTGAAAAGACCAATGAAGACAGGGACTTCAGGAGGATTGTGGAAATGGGATTGTTAAAGGTCTCTAGAAAAATTGTGTAAAGAAACGGTAATCTTGACTTGAAAGTGAAATAAGAGAGTCCAGCTTTCTGGTGTGGACTCCAGAAAGTTTGACCACATTTATGACACACATTACCCAGAGAAATTTACTTAAACTCTGTTTCTTGATTTCATTATCTGTAATAATAGATTTTAAAATAGAATTTATTTAATATTATTAGGTGGATTAAATGACTTATATGTAAATTAAAGTACTGTTTTGCACATGGCAAAGATTTAATAAATGCCAGTCACTGTTACTAACTAATAGTAGACGATCAAAGTTGGAAGTAAAGAGATTGATAGACTGTGATAACCATTTGGTAAACTACAATTAACTGAAATGGCTTCCCAGAGTGATGTGTTAGGATGTATGATGAATTTGTTTTAAGCCTGAGCAGGAAAGATTACAATTATGTAAAGTAATGCACAGAAAGATACGGTGGGGTTTGGGGAATAATAATGTGTGGACCACATTTACCAGTCTAGTTCTAGGCCAATGCTGACAATAACCTAGAATAAGAATTAAGAAGTATAATTGGGCATATATAAAATAAATGATAGAGAAAGAAGATCTAGATTTGGGCAAAATCATTGAAAAATATATAATGAAAAAGGTATTTTAGCTTTTTTTTAATTTTTAACTTGTAAAAATAACAATAGTGACTATCACATACACAAGTAGTTATAAATGGTGTCTCTGAGTCAACTTGTACTTTCTTATAAGAACTGATTATATTCTTCTGAAAACTACTGTATCTGATGATGTCATATTAATCTGTCATTGAAATACTTACACCACAGAAATCGTCAAACATTATAAATCAGGCTTTTTCCATCCCCCACTTTGGAGAGCTGGTTATTAAAGTTTGCCAGCACACCATTGTTTATGGAGCTGAATGATCTAAACGGGTGCAATGACACTGGTTATTAAACTTAAAGAAACATGCAGAAATTATGCTCCTGCATTTATAATATGATGTTTATTTATTTTAAAAACTTGAATATGATGCTTTATGTGTATAATGCTTATATGATGCTCTATGTGCCATGCAATGTTATATGTACTTCACAAATATGAGACTATAAAATAGATAATATAGGTAGAAGTGCCAAAGGTTAGTAATTGTTGCAGTTACTTACGGAACTTGAAATACCATTGCAGAAAAATGCAATAAAATATATTGTTGTTGTTTTATTCCTGCTCTTAAAAACCTTGGAAGTATCAGAATGAGCTGTCTAGGATGAAAGTTAAATTTCCCAGCCCTAGAGAGAATCATGCTTGCTCTTTCAATGCATTTCATGAGTCCTAGAAAAATTGCTACTATTATTTACAATTTTCGATTTTTTTTCCACTGGTAAGATATTGAGTTAGCTGGCAGAATTTCCTCCTTCTCTTAATCAGAAAGAACAGAATCCTTATGTGAACTATATGGTTTATAGACAGAGATGACATTAAAGGTGGAAAAACTGCCTTAGATTTGAGAGCTAAGGTGTTTATTCTGTAGATTAACCTGGTTAGTGCTCAAAATTCAGTCTCCCTGCTGAGTTTCACATGCTGATATCAGTATAAGACACAGTCTCCAAAGTTCACTTTTGTATGGCCTTAGCCATTTATATGCCTGATCCCACAAAAAAGGCTTTATAATTGTTTCAGATATGATTTTCTTTCCCAATATATGAGTCTTTTTCATTGATCATGTGCTTATGAGCAGGTTTTATCAACTTAATAGTGTACTGGGAAAGTTTTTGAATATAAAATACATTTTAACTATTTTCCAGGCCTTACAGTCAGTTCAGGGTTTACAGAGAAAGAGTATGGATTAAAGAAACAGTGAATGATTGTTTGAGAAAATAATGAAACATTGATTAATACGATATTTTATACCTAGAAAAGAGTCTGTGTTTTGAACTGCAACTTATTAATCAGCATTTATTAGGCACTTGCCATTAAGGGTATTAGGCATTTGCAGCAAAGATAAATAATAAGACTGGTCTCTGGCTTTGATAAATTATAAATATTGACACATATATTAAATTGAAATTAATGTTTCTAAAACATATTATTCTTAATACCACATATGGTATTGTATCCTGGTGAGGTTGGTCAACAATGACATAATTTCTGAAACAAATCAAAAATGTTCATAATCACTGCAAAGACTTTTTTCCTTCCCCTAGCACAAGGGAATTGTGCCTAGATGCTTCACCAAAGAAAATGGGTTTTCAACCCCAAGTCCAAATTTGTGATTACTTTCAGTGCTGCTGACTGTGCTCCTTCTGTCTTCCCATTCATCCAGATACTTAGGTCAAAACCCAGAAGTTACCCTGGATCACTCTCAGTATTCTATCAAGAAAGCTTGTTAGCTTTGTCTTCAAAATGAATCCTGAATTCAGCTAAGTCACCATTCCCTGCTCCTATATCTTAGTACACATCAACAGTGTTTCTTTACTGGGCTACCAGAAGAGCCACCTGCCTGATTGCCCCATTGTTTCTTTTGTGAAGCACCTTCTACAATGAAATCAATCAGCCTGCATTGGTCTTTCCATATGGTGAAGTTATTAATTACTTTCATGAATCACATAATTTAGCTCTCATTTAAGTTATCTTTTATTGGCCATCTTATTTTATAATATATGTTTATTAAAGCCAGGAATCATATACATAATTTTTTTTTTTTTTTTGAGAAGGAGTCTCGCTTTGTCACCCAGGCTGGAGTGCAGTGGCGCAATCTCAGCTCACTGCAAGCTCCAGGTCTTGGGTTCATGCCATTCTCCTGCCTCAGCCTCCCGAGTAGCTGGGACTACAGGCACCTGCCACCACGCCCGGATAATTTTTTGTATTTTTAGTAGAGATGGAGTTTCACCGCGTTACCCAGGATGGTCTCGATCTCCTGATCTCGTGATCCACCGACCTCAGCCTCCCAAAGTGCTGGGATTACAGGCGTGAGCCACCGCACCCGGCCTACAATCCCAGCACTTTGGGAGGCCGAGGTGGGTGAATCACGAGGTCAGGAGATTGAGACCATCCTGGCTAACACGGTGAAACCCCGTCTCTACTAAAAATACAAAAAAAAAAAAAAACAATTAGCTGGGTGTGGTGGCAGGTGCCTGTACTCCCAGCTACTCGAGAGGCTGAGGCAGGAGAGTGGCGTGAACTCAGGAGGCAGAGCTTGCAGTGAGCTGAGATCACGCCCCTGCACTCCAGCCTGGGTGACAGAGCAAGACTCTGTCTCAAAAAAAAAAAAAAAAATTGTATCTATAATATAATACCTGGAAGAATCATGTAAATATAGTAAAATGTAGTTGATAAATACTGTTTAAATTAATTGTTTCTGAAAAATAAGTTCTTCATCAGCTATGATCCATATAGTCAATATTTTCCAAATTATTTGCAAGATAATTTTTTGCAAAATAGAGTTGGTGAAGTATCTTAGAAACAAATTTAAATAAGCAGGGTTTAAGAAGGAAAATCCAACATGAAAACACACTTTCAAAATAAAAATAGGAAATAGTTTTGCAAAGATTCAAAATACGAGGAAATATTTGTTGAATTGTATTGGTGTTGTAAATCAAATTGTATTGCAACATGTGTTTAACATTGTATTATTAAATGGCACCTGCTAATCCTACTACCAGCAGAAAAAAATAATGTCGCATACTCTCATGTCATCAAAATGTAACAATACTCAGGATTTTTTATTGTTGATAAAAAATCAATGATACACATTGATAAAAACAATGATACACATTAAGTATTTTTACATTTTTCAACTTTTTTTTGCTGATGTGAGAGAAAATGTGTTTCTTATATACAAAGCATTAGCATGCTACTGGACAAAAGTAATTTGTCTCCAGTTTCTGTGAATTTTTGATGTAATAATCTGATTGTATATGGTTATGGGGGGAAAATAATAATTTTCTTAACAAATGATTGAAAAGAAAATTTTGACCTCTTAAACTAGACTTTCTTTGAAAATTCTTAAGACTTTAAAGAAGGGCCTTCATCTCAGCCAATAGCAGCGTTGTAGCCAACATTCAACAGTTTTTGCTTTTCTTATAGTTCACTATTCTCAGCACTTCCCTAAGGTAATGAGAAGAAAATGACTAAAATAATGAGTTAAGCCCCACTTTCCTGAAACCAGGCATTCATAGCTTCTGACTGCTCTGTAGGCTATATATGGCATTGTCTACAGAGTGTTCTGCATGTCAAAGCCAGCACAATACTTTCTCATGTCAGTTGCTATGGTGACTGCCTTTTTAAAGAGTGAATTGCAGATTAAATAGCTTCGTAAAACATAGATACATGGTTAGCACATAAACTACAGGTGTCCTGCAGCTATAGAAATTTAAACAACACTTTTTGAAACTTTTAAAAACTTCACTTCTCAAGGGAACATCTAATAATAAACCTATAGTTGCTTGCCCCCCTTGTCAGTTGAGGGCAACACATTTCCCTCAGGGGGGAGTCCTCCTTGCCAAGTTCCAAAGGAAATTACAGTCAGAAAGCAAAAAAGGTTGCACAAGAGGAGTTGTCACGTCCTTCTCAAACTTCGAGGTTCCCTACCTTCCACTTATCTCCCCAGGGCAACACCAGCACACTGACCCTCTGCATTTCCAGATGCCAGTTAGAAATGTAGAAGCAATTCTCTATTCCCCAAAATTGAACACCTGAACTGACGATATGCAAAAACTGTGTTATTTTGGGGAGTGCTTATGTGTTATTACAGTACTGCTTGAATCTTCATAAACATAATTTTAACTGTTAATTGATTTCAAATATTCCAGGATTGAGAATGATAGAATTCTTAGGAAATGGTAGCAATAATTTCTCATAATATCAATATAGCCAAACTTCCTAGAGATTCAAGAATATCTTACTTATATCAGTGTTTTGCATTAACGATGCAAACTTTTGTGACAACTTTCTTCCTGTTAATCTGTTCCTGAAATAGGAGAAAACCATATAGAGTTGCCCTCAATATCTGTGGGGGATTGGTTCCAGGACCCCACTCACTAAACGCTAAAGACACTAAAATTTGCAGATGCTCAAATACCTTACACAAAATAGAGTAGTATTTGTATATAACCTGCACACATTCCCCTGTATATTTTAAATCCTCTCTAGATTATTCAAAATACCCAATACAATGTAAATGTTATGTAAATAGTTGTTATAGTGGTTTTTTTGGTTTTTGTTTTGTTTTGTTTTTGTTTTTTGAGACAGGGTCTCTCTCTGTCACCCAGGCTTGAGTGCAGTAGAACAATCTTGGCTCACTACAACCTCCGCCTCTCAGGTTCAAATGACTCTTGTGCCTCAGCCTCCTGAGTAACTGGGATTACAGGTGTGAACCACCAAGCCTGGCTAAATTTTCTGTATTTTTAGTAAAGACGGGGGTTTCACTATGTTGGCCAGGCTGGCCTCGAACTCCTAGCCACAAGTCATCCAAATGCCTTGGCTTCTCCGAGTGTTTGGATTATAGGCATGAGCCTCCGTGCCCAGCCTGTTATAGTGTATCCTTAATATTTGCCTTATTTTTATTGTTGTGTTGTTTTATTGTTATTTTTATTTTTTATGAATATTTTTTATCCATGATTGGTTGAATCCAGGAATGTAGAACCCACGAATATGGAGGGTTGAGAGTATTAAGAATGGTTGTATTTAGGCCAGGCATGGTGGCTCATGCTTGTAATCCTAGCACTTTGGGAGGTCAAGGCAGGCATATCGTTTGAGGTCAGGAGTTCAAGGCCAGCCTGGGCAACACAGTGAAACTCTGCCTCTACAAAACAATACAAAAATTAGCCAGGTGTGGTGGTTCACGCCTGTGGTCCCAGCTACTTGGGAGGCTAAGCTGGGAGGTCAAGGCTGCAGTGAGCTGAGATCACACCACAGGACTCCAGCCTGGGGGACAGAGGGAGACATTGTCTCAAAAAAAAAAAAAGTTTGTATTTTTTAACCCTCTTTTATGGGTATATATTATTTTTTCAGTCCTTTTGCCTCTTCTTTTATGTCTTTCTCTATACACACAAACTCTCACATAGAATATATACCTTATCCATTTTTTTGACCTCATGGAACTCAACACAATGTTGCATTATGTATAAACCTAACTCTGTTGCAATTTTCATATGCACGTTTTCTTCTACAGAAAAATTACTCAGCTTTTTTTTCTAGTGGGTTGTCCTGGCTTTGTCAAGTTTCACTCTGCTCATAATGTCTAAGGTGGAAACACCTAGTGTGAAAATGCAGAGACTTTGGGCTTCTGAATGTCGGCACTTTTACCTGTATCGTTGCTCTTAAATGTTGCATCTAAAATCTTAAAACTTCAAATTAACAAAAATAATTTAAATTAAATACCTGCTAGTCACCTCATTTAAAAAATATAGCCAAAAACACCCTTGCATTTACTATCTAATGACAGCATCTACCATGCATATTTCATACCTCCTTGATTGCTTTAACAGTTTGCCTAAAACCTATGTTACAAGATTCTCATGAAGATTAAATGTGATTATATATGTGAGGAATATTCTGAAGCTTGTAAAGCATTTAAAATTGCTAGCCACATGCTGTTAAGTTGTACAGATACAACACTGGAGAGATCTGGTAGATGTGGAGATGCCTTGACCAGGTAATCTTGTAAAGAACTTGCTGGGTATCTAGAACAATTGCAGTCAGCAGACAATATTCAGTTGTCAGTTCCTTCAGGTTTGCCCTAGCTACAGAGAGGCTCCTTTTCCCAAAGTCATGCCATCAGGGAAAGCCCTCATCTGGTAAAGGAGAGAAGGGTGTAAAGGCCTGTCCATTTCAGCCCAGTGCAGGATACTTAGATGGGCAATACTCATGCCAGAGTTCCCGCCATGTTGGCTGAGGATTTACCAGTTCTGCATAAGAGTTTAACTTTGTTTTCTGCCTAGTCCTCTTCCTTCTCATCCTAGACAGGTATCGATTTTTAGTAAGCCTATTGCATCCATCTCAGCACCTGCTTTCAGGGGACTCAACCTGTAACAGGGGAACTGTCAGAGTCCCTAACACTCAGGGACCTAAAAAATAAGTAATCTGTCCTTAGTTAACTATCATTGCCACATTACCAGCACAACCAGTTTTAGTTGATTAAGTGAATCTTAAATTCTGATTCCCCAGAAATAGATAAACAAATTTGAAAACGATGATTATGATAGCTAAAACTTGTTAAAGGTACATAATGAACAAGCAAATACAATAATTATTTTATATAACTTAGTTTTTTTAAAGTTATTGATTATTGTAGGTTATTTGTATTTTCTTATAAATATTAGAATCAATTTGTCAATTTGTCACTGTTTTTAAAAAAGCCTGCTAGGATTTCTGTTTGGTACCACATTGAATCTATAGTTTGATTTGGGAAAACCAAAAACCTGATAATATTGATTCTTTGCCTCCATGAATTTGTTATATCTTTACATTTATTTACAGTTTCTAATTGTATGGGAGGTACACTTTTTCTCTAACCTCAGGATCAGTGGCTGGGCTTGCAAAATAAACTGATGAAAGACAGATTTACAGGAAAAAGGTACACAGGTTTATTTGATGTTAAAAGTTTTACATGGCATGAGAGGGAGGAGGGGAAGGAGGATTCTTAAAAAATCTTCCAAGGAAGCGACTGGGATTGGAGATATTTAGGCTATGCAGAGAAAGATTATGAACTTATAGAGAAGTGACTAGACAAAATAAAGGGGTTTCTGAACACTTTAGGGGGACTAAATTGTGGAAACTTAAAGACATGGGGGACACTAACGGTAGGAAAGGTAGATAAGGGTAGAGGTTCATATAGGCTCTCTCCTTCTCTGGTGGTAAGGTTGTTCTCCCCTTGCTACTCAAGAAAAAGTGGGCAGGGAGATTTTCACTAGGGGAATTTATGCCTTCTTCTCAGCTGGTTGCGGGAGGGCAGAGAGTCAGTGCTATCTACCTTTTCCCGATTGCCTTAGCTCAAAATAATCCTCATGACAGCGTGACATATTTTAGGGCACCACATTCTAAACTCCTTCATTGTTCTCTTAGCAATGTTTGCAATTGACAGGGAACAGGTCTTGCACATACTTTGGTAGAAATATAATTGTCTTTTTTTATTTCATTTTATATTGTTCATTGCTAATTTTACAAATACTTTTTTTATTCACCTGTGTTCTTCATCTTTCTAAAGAAATTTATGTGTTCTAATAGACTTTTTTCTCATTTTAGATTTTTTGTATTTTTCTGTGTAGATGGTAATGCCTCTCCAAATGAAAAGTTTTACTTTTTTCCTTGCTAATTTGCATGCCTTTTATTTCCTTTTCATCCCTTATTGAATGTGCTAGAATCTCCACGTTGCTGAATAAGTGAGGGTTCATTCCTGACCTTGTTCTTGCTAACAGAGAAAAAGAATTCAGATTTTTACCATTAAGAATAATAGTAGCTGTTAATATTTATAAAATCTCTGCATCAATGCAAAGTTTTTCCCCATTCTGGTTTCCTATGAATTTTTATAGTTACGCATTGTTAAAATTCTGTCAGATGTATTTTTGTCACCTATTAATATTATATTGTTCTTGTTTTCTTTATTTACATTTACCTTTTTATATATTTTTGATCATTTGATAATATTTAGTTAAGGACTTGGTTTCAATGTTTATAGAGGCTGATGGTTTATAGTATTATTTTTGTTGTGATATCTTCATCTTTTTTTTTGAAAGATATTGTTTGTGGTGGATTTATGTTGTTTATTTTCTATAAATGTCTGATAAAATGAACACCAATGGAGCCATCTGGGCTTGAAGATTTCATTGTAGAACGTTTTTTAAATTATGGACTCAATTTTTATAGTAACTAGAGGGTTAGTCAGATTTTCTAGTTCTTATGTCAGATTTCTTATTATCATAATAACTTAGGATTTTTTAAGATATTAGTCCAATTCACCTAAGTTGTTGATTTTTGAGGAACAAAATGTGGCTTATAATGTATTCTTGGTATTTTCTTTTCTGTAGGATTTGTAGCACCATACCCTCTTTTACTATTGATATTGACAATACGGGTCCTCCTTTTCATTCTTGATCACTCTAGCTAGAGGTTTATAAACTATAAGAATATTTGGTTGCCTTGAGTTTTGTCTATTTTATCTTAGTTTTCTATTAATTCAACATCTGTAAAATTGACTTCAGTTATTATTTTTATTACTGTAATTCCCTTTCTTGTACTTACTCTAGGTTTAGTTTGCTGTCTCTCTCCCTCTTTTTTTTTTTTTCCTAAGAAAGAGTTTTGCTCTGTCACCCAGGCTGGAGTGCAGTGATGTGATAATAACTCACTGCAGCCTCAAACTCCTGGACTCAAGCAATCCTCCCACCTCTGCCTCCCTAAGTGCTGGGATTACAGGAGTGAGCCACTGTGCTCAGCCCTTGCTCTTCTTTTTCTAGTTAACTAAGGTATGGTATTTGATTATTGATTTATACTTGCTTCTTTTCTAGTATAATCATTCATAACCACAACTTACCCTCTAAACTCTGCTCTGGATGCATCCCACTAATGTTCATATTACATGATTTTATATCGTGACCAAGTTTTTATTGTTGCAGTTACAAAAATAGAAAACAGGTGTTACTTTTCACTGAAGTATCTGTATTTCTATTTTAATGGGGTCGTTTTTCTCTTTTCTTAAGTATTCTTAAGAATTCATTCAAAATTAGTTCTTTGTATATGGATTGCAAATAATTGTACACTGCCTTTAATCTATGATAAATTTTTGATAAAGAAGTTTCAATTTTTATGTAGTCTGATTTATTTAACGTTTCATTTAAGCTACTGGCTTTCAGGGCATGTGCATTTTAAAAATATTCCCCAACTGATTCTGAAATGCACCCTGAAAAAGAGACATGGCACTTTTATGAATTTGTCACATCCTCTAATGAGTTACACATCCTTCCTTTTTTGGGGGCTGCTCCATTGCTTGATTGGCACTTGTTTTAGTCCATCTGTGTTCCTATAAGGGAATACCTAAGGCTGGGTACTTTATAAAGAAAAGAGGTTCATTTGGCTCATGGTTCTTTAGGCTATACCAGAAGCATGGTGCCAGCTTCTGCTCTTGGTGAGAATCTCAGGCTGCTTCTACTCATGGCAGAAGGCTAAGGGGAGCTGGCTTGGACATACCACATAGTGAAAGAGAAAAGCCAGAGGGAAGTAGAGAGGTGCCAGACTCCTTTTAACAATCAGCTCTCTCTGATACTAAAAGAATGAGAACTAACTCATTCCTGACAGGACAGTACCAAGTTATTCGTGAGGGATCTGCCAACATGACATAAACTCCTATTAGGTCCTACCTCTAACATCTGGAATCAAATTTCAACTGGAGACTTGAGGTGGTCAAACCAATTATATTCAAACCACAGCAGCACTAAATCTGTAAATAAATAGTTTACTGAAGATAGTATTCTGATATTTGGAAAATTTGTGACATTATTTTTTGACTCTATGTTTATATATAAATTAAACATGCAGTTCATATATCATGGTGAATTTTTATATATATATATATATATACACTTATATATAATATTTTAAAAATCTTATCTATTACCATTATTCATTCCATTAGTAGATAAATTTTCTGGAGGAAATTATCTGTCTACATTGTGTATTACCTCTAATCATCTATATCAGTAGCATGATATTTCAATAATGGTGAAAGAGTCTTGGAACTAATTTGCAAGTCAAAGGAAAAATGTGCCCCTGCTCTTTTGCTTATTCATTACATTTAAGAGTTATTTAACAGCAGCCTTTATTCACACACATTATTGAACTCAGTCCATCTGACTTGTGCTCCACTAAATTGGCATTTTCAGAATCATAGGCTTCAGTTGTAACAGGAAATTTCTGAATTACAATGTGGTATTTTGCAAAATATGTATGGAGTTTTATGCCTCATTCTTCAGTAAAAAATCCTAGGTGATCTGAGTCTTAATAAGATAACAATCATTAAGTACGTAGTTTTAGTCTCAGATTTTGGCACTTCCGTATGACTGTTACTCTGGGAAGACATGGTTCTCCAAACGAAAAGAAATGCTATTTTGTTTGAGCTATCATAGCTCCCAAACCTCTTCTTGATCATTTGAATCACCAGTTTAAAACACCAGGTGGAAGATTTCCTGGTGGGTTTTACTGAAGCCAGGAAGCAAACAACAACAAAGAAATTGTTGCTGCAAAAGTTGCTATATTTTAATAACACTCAAAAAGAAATACATTAGAAACTTTTAACTAAAAACAAATAGAAACCTACATTTTTGCACAGACTTTCAACTATTGACATAATAATGTAGGTACGGATTGGGGTCAATACATTGGATCTAGCCAACATTAATTTCTTTTGTGTACCAACTTTGCTTATAAACTTTCTAAGTATTATTATGATGTAGAATATGTCCACAAATCACAATTCACTCATTTTTCAGCAACAAGGTACACTAAAGCCCTTTCAACAACCAATGAACTGTGATGTTATATGCTTTCTGAAAAAAGAAGTTACTATGTACATTTTCATATGCTAAAGTAAAATTACCTTTTTCTTAAGGCAAGAACACCTATATCCCATGAAAAGAGTATAAGCGTTCAAGTATAAGTTATGAAATCTGAAATGTAGTGGTGATTATTTTCAGTTCATCACTTTGCATATTCTTCTATAGTAACACACTAAGTTGTCTAATTTCTGTAATTAATCTTTCCTAAAACACTTTTTTATGAATTCAGATGTAGCCATCCTATAAAAAATGCTAACAAGCTACAAGCATTTTGAGATCCCCAGATAAAAGTAGCTAGCCATACATCTGTACACCAAATCTACTTTAATTGTTAAAAATAGCTTTATAAAACCTGAGAAAATGATTTACTTATTGGTCAGTTTTAATATAGATTTGATATATACTCATATTTCTGATGTTAAATAGCTGTGAAAATGAGGCACTGATCCTATGGTGTCTCAAATAGAATACCTATGTCTGCATCTTTCTTTGACGAAGAAATCACTTGTGAGATGTTAACGTTGTATATATAACTGTAAATATTAAAAAGAGGCATATTTACAATTCCCTTTTTTTCACTCATTCCTATTCCCAGGATAAGCCATCAAAGCAAAAAGTTGGCAGTTCAATGTTATTTTGTCTTCTATTTTTGTATGCCCTGTTTAAAACAAATGTCCTTAATTGACTTGTGATAGTAGCAAATCAATTGTAGAACGTCAGGAATGTCTGCGAACAGATGGCGGTGTGGATCTCATTCCTCCTAGGACTCACTCAGAGTTACAGCTGTCCAGGGTTATGTGTAATGTTTGCAGCCCTGTTTTCTGTTAGCTGGCTATTTCGATGATGAATATGTGTGCAGATAACCCTTCTCCTTTGAGAATTCTGCCCCTCTGCATGGCTTCTATTTTGAATGCATAGCACTCTATGCATTCATGGAATACCAATAGGTTTTATTTAAAAGGTGACCGCATTAAAAAAAAATCAAAATGTCTCAATTAATGATTGCACTTTTTTTGTGTATCTAACTTGAATCTGGTATAGAATTGGAGGCAGTAAAATAGTATACAATAATTAAGAAATGCCCTAATATACTCCAAGTTGATTTTACTCTTTTGCTTTTCAAAATAATGTGTACAACTTTTAGTAGCCCTTGCTTGAAGAGTAAAAAAATAATTTTACACAAATATAAAAGTATAGTGAATAAATATCTTGGTGGCAATACTTTTGAAAAACTATTTATGTTTTTGTTGAGATTGTAATTATATAAACATATTGAGATATTTTCCTCCTCCATAAATATAGATTTATAGAATAAAAATCTTGAGTAAATTTAAACATGTTATTAATATAAAACACTGATAGAACACTTAAAATTGAATTATGTATAATTATAAAAATTTTATTATTTTCTGTATATAATATGCCTGAATAGTCCTGTTGTATTTGAACACATGTATGTGTACAAAACTTATGTTGTAAGTATATAACATGAATTTATATGAAGTCACAGCATAGATAAAGAAAATTCCCTGGGCCTTTTCTCCCAGCTTTGAATACTGTTCACTAGAACTTCATACACAGATATCTCTGATGAATTATTTTCTTTTAAGAAATCCTAATTTGAATGTCTGATCTATACTGAATGCTTTCCTCAATTGTCTAATTAACATTTTTATTGTATTGAAATTTCATAAAATCAGCCACATTCTATTTCTTAACTTGGTTTCTTCTCTTAGAATTCAAAGAAAGGTATCAATGAAAGAAAATACCTATCTCTTTTTTTTGCCATTTTTGCTAAACAGATCTCTCCTTAAAGCAATATATTCTCTTTCCTTTTTCTTTTTGAAGCTACCTTTTTTTTGAAGTGGAAATTTACATAATTAGCATGCACAAAGATCTCAGGCTTTCAACTTGACAAAGTGGGAATTTTCTTTATTCCTAATTATTGATTTAGACACTTAGGAGATGAAAGCAATTCAAGTCATGACTTTCACAGACATAGAAATATGAATTTGATTGGTTGGTAAATTGCCAATGCTTAATAAGTAAACTTAGAGTCCCTGCCATAACACATACCTAAGTGGCAACAAGCAACCTGCCACACTGACAGTTTTCTTAAAAATATGAATATTTTGACAAATACTTGAATATCATTATTTGTGAGAAAAATTGTGGAAGGGACACATCAACTAGGGTCTCCCTAGAATACTTTGTATATTTCTAGAGGCAAACAGAATATTCAATATGTAATATCTCCTACCTAGAAATCCACATATATGGTTGAGAAGAAATGTGAATTGGATTAAATTCATGAACTGGTATTGGGCATGGACACTCCACTCAGTGGACAGAACTCAAACTCTCCGAGCTTGAGTTGCAGATTAAGGACACATCTTTGGGAATACAAACTGTAAAATAAAATTGTGGTTGCTGCTCAAGCTGCCTGGATGGGTGGCTCACATAGATGCCCATGGTAATGGTCAGTTCACTGATGAAGCAGATGGGCATCCAGCTCCTGACAGTGCCTGTGCTGTCCCTGCTGCTCCAATTACCACATAAACTCGTCACCACACTGGACATGGCAGCACACTCACCCTCCTACACTGGGCACACACACACAAACGCTAATGCAGAGGCTATAATTGCATGCCAAATTTGTGATTCCTGCCAAAAGCTGCAAGATGGAGGGGCTGACATGGCCCTCTGCCCACTCTTGGCAGATTTATTACACCTGGTTATTGACAAGTATTGGTGTTCTCTGTGGTATTTTCAGTGTTAATTCTTTTTTTTTTTTTTTTTTTTTTTTTTTTTTTTTTTTTTGAGACGGAGTCTCGCTCTGTCGCCCAGGCCGGACTGCGGACTGCAGTGGCGCAATCTCGGCTCACTGCAAGCTCCGCTTCCCGGGTTCACGCCATTCTCCTGCCTCAGCCTCCCGAGTAGCTGGGACTACAGGCGCCCGCCACCGCGCCCGGCTAATTTTTTGTATTTTTAGTAGAGACGGGGTTTCACCTTGTTAGCCAGGATGGTCTCGATCTCCTGACCTCATGATCCACCCGCCTTGGCCTCCCAAAGTGCTGGGATTACAGGCGTGAGCCACCGCGCCCGGCCAATTCTTTTGTTCTTGTTACTGATCAGTTAATTTCAGTCATGCTAATAGGGCTATTGAAATTAACGTGTCTTGTGTTCAACTTCTCAGACTAATTGCAGTTTGTCAATCTGTGATTTTTACGGCAGAAGCTACTCAATGAGCTAATAGTGTAACTTTACTTCTCTCACCCCCTTCTGATCTACGTACCATAGTAAGACAGTTTGATCATTAAATACAACTGTTTCCATAAAGAGAACATCTCCTCTTGATTACTTCTTACATACTGATATGAACAAAAGAGGTTGGATGTATAGACTTATTTTGTATATTCACAATTTTACCTTGACCATTTCTGAACTTCAGGCTTCTTTACTTTCTCTAATGGGAAAACCAGGCAGTCTGTTTTGGTATTTTTGCTTGGTGGCATCCAGCTTTAAGAGGGTTAGGGGATTCAAAAGTAATTCTGGTCCAGCCCTGGATTCTTGTTAGGGTGACATGATTTTAGGTTGTAGGATTAAAGACTATGAGTTGAGTGTACTGCCCACTAAGTGGTTCATCCAGGGGTTACTCAACACCACCACCAAAAATAGATTAGGTAGTTGTGATATCTTCACCCTCAGTGAGACCAGAATAGGTCCAAAAGAGGGTAGTTAGGTAAATTCTGAAATCAATGAAGAACTTATCCTTTTTCTGTTTATAGATCAAGTAATTTTAACAGAAAATACCTAAGGATAAATATAGCTGCTAAAAGGTCTTGTCCTATTTTTATATTATTTTGTATGTATCCATTATCAAATATTGACCCACATATCCACAGTCCTTTTAGTAATCAATCTATCTTCCTTTATTTTAACAAAGTCTTAGCAATTTGGGGGCTCACAATATCACTAATTCATAGAAATAAGGGAATCCTGAATTATAATTTCTAAAATCAATCCTATTTTTTTTTTGTCTTTCCATATGAGGGTTTGAAAAGATCGTGGCCAGGCGCAGTGGCTCACATCTGTAATCCCAGCACTTTGAGAGGCCAAGGTGGACGGATCACCTGAGGCCAGGAGTTCTAGACCAGCCTGGCCAACATGGTGAAACCTCTTCTCTACTAAAAACACAAAAATTAGCTGGGCGTGACAGCGAGCGCCTGTAATCCCAGCTACTTAGGAGGCTGAGGCAGGATAAACAGTTGAAGCCAGTAGACGGAGGTTGCAGTGAGCCAAGATCACATCACTGCACTCTAGCCTGGATGACAAGAGTGAAACTCCATTTCAAAAAAAGAAAAGATATTAGCTGGGTTTTGCAAATCTGATCTTTGCCAAGTTCTAGACTATAGGACTGATGAGGCTGGTCATTTTCTCTACCCAAGTTACACATTAGGAGGGTATATTTCTCAGCGACAGGGGAGGTCAAAGAAAGAGCAAAAATGTTTGGAAAAAGCACAGAAGAAAAAGGAGTAGAGTAAGAGGAAGGAGGAAATCAAATTACAAGAGTCCAGGAGGGAGACCAATTTGCAGGTGGGCAGAAAGAATGAGAGGAAGTATGTACTGTTTTTACATTTCTCTAAGGAATTCATAATGAAAAGAATTTTAGAATTTTCATATATTGTTGAGACATCTTTGTACCAGTAAAAAATGCTGACCATTGATATCTATAATCTTTGAATCCTTTCATTCTAAGGCACCTCACAAATGGCTTCCTTTGTTCATATATCAAATTCCACAAGTGGCTATAAAAGTTCTAAATTGTCTTTGGTAACATTCTACAGAGCTTCAGCTATTTTGTGCTAAATATTTAGTGTCATTGGCACCATAATGATTGTACATGTAAGAGGATGGGCAACAAACTGGGGACACGTTGAATGATAGATAATTGCTCATATTACAGTGACAACAATAAATGAGAGACAAATAATCACATTCAGAAAGACTTGTTACTTGCTCCTGCATCATGCATGATCTCCCTGAAATAGTGAAGCAAATTACAATAAAGATTTTCCTAAAATGCTTAAGCCAGAGGAGTAAACATTTATGTGGTACTTTAATGCAAAGGGAGTGGAGCGCTAGTTCATCAGGAGCAAAACTTACTCAGGTGTGCAGACGCTGGGCCGCTAAGGAAGGAAACCATCAAAGAATCATTGGCATGATATGTCCTGTTGAAGTGGCCTGGACTGAGCATAAGGGGGCCCGGTCCTGATTCAAGCCACAACACTAATAACTGTAGAACAAAATCAGCTAGAGCCTTGGCTAATCATAAACGTTTATTTGAAAATCCTGAGCACAAAAATATTTTGAGGGAATGTTTTGTCTTGGGAGAAAAAAAAAAAAAAGTTGGGAAGGCAGAGGGCTTTATCCAGAAGGGTGAATTGACTATTCCACTTGTTTTAGGAATAGATGATTCTTCAAAATGGTGAGTTGAAAGGAAGAAACTGTTCTTGAGGTGTTCATATCCACTGGTTGAGCAATTCGGGTTTAAGACGGGGAGAGAGGATGGGAAGGGGAAGTCTGAGAAAGTGACTTTGAAGGTCTCTTATATAATCTTTTTTAAGGCATAAAAATTAGTACAGTTTTAATAAAATGGATTAAATTTAAAGGAAAATACTTCCAATGTCCAGGGATGATTCAAAAATCATTTATAAGGCTTTAATTTATTCTAATAGTTAAATCTCTTTGGAAACTATTAAGCCTGTATTTTCTTTTTTGATATTTTTTTTTCTAAAATATATTCTTTAATAATAATGTTCGTCTAGGTTCCTTAATATTTATTCCATGAATTTCTTCCTCCTTCCAAGTGATCTCAGCTACTTCCAACACTTCAACTATTACAATTTAAAAAATCAAATCTAAGTCATTTTGAATTCTTCATGCCTAGGATATGTTTTCTTCTCTTTTCCTACAGTAATATCCGGCTCATGTGTCATGTCTCACCATTTTTATCATAATTCTTTATAGTGCTAAGCATGCTAAATTTCCCTTATACCTGTTTATATGTTAACATCCACTTTTGAGTCAGCTTTTTGAGCGTGTCATTCATATTTTTGGGTTTCAGTGTATAGCATATATCTGACACATAGGACATATTTAACAAGTGTTAATGATTGTTTTCCTTTAAAACATCGGTCAAATGCTTCTTCTTTTAAGAAATCTTCAACTTAGTTCATTTAGGAAAGATTCCTTTGGTAACAATGAACAGAAAGATAACTTGAAGTAGCTCAAAGAGAAACCAAACAGGAAGTACAGGACATATGAGCTTCAAGCAAGCATGGAATCAAGCTTTTGAATATCC